>NC_000001.11:212123980-212275496 GCF_000001405.40 Homo sapiens | reverse complement strand
TTGGAGTATAGTGGTAAATGAGACGAAGTCAGCCTGCATGGAGCTTGTCTCCAATGGTGAAAGCTCACATCAATTAAAGTCCAACGGTGGAAACAAAGCAGGGAATATGCACCAGAGGAAACACCATGTGACTACACACACAGACCTTCAAAGCTGCTTAGGAGAACCTCTAGGGTGACCAACTCATCCTGGTTTGCTAGAGACTTTCCCAGTTCTAGTACTGAAAATCCAGTGTCCCAGGAACCCCCTCACTTTTGGGCAAACCAGGATGGTTAGTCACTCTATGAACTAAACACGCAGCAACACATTTATTCAAGGCCTATTATTAGCAAGGCCCATGGCTAAACATTGTGGCCTCTACCCTAAGAGAGCACAAGCTCTAGGGGAGAGATGAGATGAGGCATGCATTCACAAAAAGATAACTTCTCATTCAGAACACTATTTGATGAGAGCCAAGATGGTACATTTGGAGGGAGGTCATAGGTGGTATTTGTGCTCAGGTGGAGAAGACGGAATTCAAGCTTGACCTGGAGGTTCAGGTATAATTACATAAATAGAGAAAAAGATAAGAGATAAGGGAAAGCACTATCCAACTGCTTACTGCATGCCTCTTAAACTCCAAGTTTCCAACTTATTATGTTGACCTCCTCCTCCCCTCTCTGTCTCACTATATTGCTGTCCACCAGTCAACAAAGAGAGAAATGACATCGAGGTGTGGAAGTGGAAAGAACAAGTATGTAGATGGGAGGTTAAAAGATGTATTGACTGGAGAAGATGCTTTTTGGAGGGAACAGTGGGAGGGAAAGCTGGAAAAGGTACAATTATTTACTTATTCAACAAACGTTCAGTGTTTATTATTGGCCGTTTTCTGGTCTAGGTTCTGGGTATAGAAAGGAAAAAAAATACAATTCCTTCTTTCAGAGAGTCTGGAGAGGGAAAGAAAAAGCCCTCCAAACCCCATACCCACCACAGATAGTCTCATAAATGCTGTAACAGAGGTAAGCACAGAGGAGAAAGTACAGAATCTCTGGCGTGGAGAGCAAGAAAGGCTTTCTAGAGGAAGATGCTCTAGATCTGAGAATTGAAAAACCAGAAGGAATTAGGAAGACAAAAAAAAAAAAAAAGGAAATCATTCCAAGCAGTGGAAATATAACTTATAAGGTGCAGAACCCTGAGAGAAGGGGCTACATCTGGAAACCAAAGGAATTTGGTATAAGCTTTCTTCAGTGGGCAGAAGCTGTGTGTCTATTAAGGAGGGCAGAGTGGGTCATGAAGGGCTTTGTGTGCAGTTATTGGGCATTATCCTCAAGTCAGTGGGGAGACACTGAAGGATTTTAATAAGCAGGAGAGTGGCATGATCAGATTTGCATTCTAGAAAAATTACACTGTTGGCAGTGTGGAGGATGAACTCATTACAGAGGGCAAGGCCAGAGAAAGGGAGACCTGTGGGCCAGAAGACAAATAGTAAGACTCTGTGTCAGGCATCTGAGATGGAATGGCAAGATCAGACTCAGGAGATATTGTAAATAAATAAAATGACTTAGTGACTTATTGGGCATGGATAAGGGTATGGGACACAGAAGAGGAAAGGGTGATTCCCAGGTATCCAGACTGAGTGACTGGTGGGCAGCAATGCCATGTAGTGAGACAGGGAAGGGAGGAAGAGGTGGACGTAATAAGTTGGACACTTTGAGAATAAGCAGTTGGATAGTACAGGCTTGCAGGAAAGAGATCTGTACTGAAGGTAGAGATCTGGTAGTCATCAGTATACAGATAGGAGATGGAACTCTAAGAATACCCTTGTTCTCCTGGGTGGAGTGTATAGAATAAGGAAAGAGGGTGAGAAAACCCCTGGGGTTGCTGGGCGCAGTGGCTCACGCCTGTAACCCCAGCACTTTGGGAGGCCGAGGTGGGTGCATCATGAGGTCAGGAGATCGAGACCATCCTGGCTAACATGGTGAAACCCCGTCTCTACTAAAAAATACAAAAAAATTAGCCAGGCATGGTGGCGGGCACCTGTAGTCCCAGCTACTCAGGAGGCTGAGGCAGGAGAATGGTGTGAACCCGGGAGGCAGAGCTTGCAGTGAGCCGAGATCGCGCCACTGCACTCCAGCCTGGGTGACAGAGTGAGACTCCATCCCCCCCAAAACAAAACAAAACAAAACAAAACAAAAAAAAAACCCTGGGGTACCCTTACTTGAGGACACTGCAGAGAAAGAAGATAGTATCAGATTATGGAGTGTCAGCAAGTTTGGACCTGATTCTGAAGTCAGTGGGGAGATGCTGGAGACTATTTGAATAGAAGATGTCATGTTGAAGTAGTGTTTTAAGATCACCAGGTGAAGGCAATGGAAGCCAAAGAGATTGGCTGGAGATGATTACAGGTGTCCAGGCAGCCAGGGCTTGAATGAGTGGTGCTAAGCAGTGTGTGTCAGTGGCACCCATGGAGCTTTTCCAAGCTATAACTTCCTGGCCCCCCAGTGGACATGAGAATCTTGGGGTAGAAGAGGCAAAACGTGTAGTTTCAAAAAAATCCCAAGTGATACTCCAGTCCCCTCCCCCTATCCTATCCTCCATTTCTTGGTGATGAGTGGCTTGAACTAAAAATGGCCTTAGGAATAGATGTGAGAGATACTACAAAAGAATACTACACTGGAAAGATTTGACTAAAGGTGGAGGAGGGAGGTGGCAAGTCAAAGAGGAAAATTACAAATGATGCCAAGGTTTTGAATTGGGTGACCAAATAAATTGGGGGCCTTTAACAAAAGTCCAGTAGCTGATCCAGTTTTCTTTTGTGGGAGGAGGTAGAGAGGGGTGTCAGAGGAAGGAAGGGAAAGAGAAGCAAACATTGAGTCTGAGGTTAGAAATGTTGAGTTAAAAGAGCTTTTTAAGGTCGTTGAAGCTGAAGAGCTGGATCTTTATTTTTAAAAAGAGGTGATGACATGTTGTATATTAATTTGGAGAAAGAAGACGACTAGAATGGGCTGACAGCCTAGTGTAGGCCAAAGCAAAGAAGGAAATTACACAAACAACACAAGCCTCTTTTTCCTCTTTAAGGAAAAAAAATCATGACAGAAACAAATGGGCAAAAGATGGCCTGTCATGTGCCTCTGCATTCTCCAGTGCCAAACAGTCAGTAGAACTGCACAGGAGAGGACCAGGCCCAGGGCAACCCCTTGTATCTGCTGTGGCTGTGGGCCAAAGATCAGGAACAATGCAGCCGTCACTCTGGGCTCACCATGTGCACACACACAAGACACACACACACACACTCACCCTGCATTCTAAATTCTTAACCACCTTCTAAGCAAAACTATACCTAGATCTTTTTTATGATGCCTTTATAGAGGAAGAAAAAAATCAATTTACCAACTGAACACCTCCTCCTAGTTTCAGGCAAGATCTGTGCAAAGTCTTCCAGCTTTCCCAACTTCTTGATTAGTTAAGGCCTCTTCTTACACTCAGCAGATAAGTCCCACTCCGTCACGCTGAATTACAGTGATTGTTTCTCAGCTTACTTTGGGTCAAGGATATGGGCTAGGACTGGAGAATGACCTTAGCCCTTCAGACTGAAAGATGCAATTTCAGTCCTTATACACATTGGGCATGTTTCAGTGTGAATTATTTGCATAGTGGCCTTAAGAGAGAAAGTACTACATCAATCCAATGATTTAATACAGCACTATATCCTTCTGGGTGCTAGGGAAGCAAAGTTGAGGAGGACACAGATTGTGCTCTCTTGGAGTTTACAGTTTCATGATGAAGAAAAGTCAAGCACACAGAGAATCACTGTATAATTCAAGAAGAGAAAAGATGTATCAACAAAATGCAATTGGGGCTAAAGGAGGAAAAATAATGTTATGATTGGAGAATGAAGAACAAGGGACACAGAGGAGCAGCTGGAAGGTTAAAATTGACTTTGAAAATTGCACAGAATTTCAGTGGGTAGCTAGGTAGGGGAAAGGAGAAGAACATTCAGGTAAGGGAAACAGCATGAGCAAGGTCACAGAGAGAGGAATATGTGTGGCATATTTGGAGAACAGCAAATAGTTTGGTTTGGCTGCGGTATAGGAAAAAAGTAGGAGATAAAGCTAGGAACATAGGTCGGGGACCTACTGCAGAGGACTTTAAATGCCAGGGTGAGGAGTTTGTACTTAATTCTTCAAGTAATGGGAAGCTATTGAAGACTTTGGGGCAGGACAGCAATTGATTAGACTTTGATCTAAGAGGTTTAATCTCACATCTGTTAACTGGGAGGAAAAGAGGGTAGAAGCTACAGGCAGGGCAAAATTTTAGACATGTGTTTAACATGTCTGTGCACTCTCTGAATAAAGATGCTCATTAACACTTGGAATGAGGGTCTGATATTCAGGAAAAAGGTATGGTTAAGGTTCTTTGTAGCCTTAGTTTCTTTACTCTGAGGACTGTTTTGGTAATCAGAAGATAATGCTTTGAAAAACACTTACAACAGTTCCTGACTCATAATGGGCATGTGAGACAGATGTGATGGTACTTGAGGCGGTGGTAGCATCAGTAGTAGTTGCACAGTTAGTTCTTCCTTGTAACCCTTTTGTTCTTCCCAGAATTCTGCCATGAGTTCAGGCAACAAAACCAAATGGCAAACTCTTGCTGTAGCCAGAATTGCCCTTCTCCTAAGAGGATCATGGCTGTATATTGAGTCAAGCAGTTGTACTGGCTCCTTTTTCTCCCCACCCCCGTAAGATAACCACTCTACTGGGAAAACGCTTAGCCCCTGGCAAAGAGTCCTGTTGAGTGTCTCTTTGTTTTGTCTGTTGCATTCAGACACAGAAGCTCAGAAAAGCTATAACCCTGGATGGAAGAATGAGTGGAGCTAAAAACATGTAAAATACTTTTTATTGTTTAGGGATATATAGTGCATGTAAATGTATGCATGCACACACAATTTTATATATATATGTATATATTCCGAAACATTCCTGTATATATAATGGGAATTGAAAACACCAAATTCGAAAACTGGTTACTTCCTAGAAGGAAGGCAGGAAGGAAAATATAAATGAGAGGGATACACTGAGGGTTTCGGCTATATCTGAATGCTTTTTTTTTTTCAGCTAGATGTTGGATTGATATATGTTTATTATATTATTCTCTACAGTTTGTATGTAGGAAATGATGTGTATGTATAATATATATTTTTTTAATTTTGGAATGAGGAAAGTAGGGTCTATATATTTTAGAAATGATGAGCTTGAGCTGATATTTGGGCACTTACAAAAGGGGAAATTGAATATGGAGCAAGTCTTTTTCAGCATGCACTTGATCCAGCCAGCAGATGACTGCAAAGCCTCATGCACCAAAGTAGGAATCCCCAAAAGGAGCTGAATAATGGAGAGCCTCAAGCACTACCCCCAGAGATTACCCATCACAGGAAAAGTGACACTGAAGTAGCACCAGCAGAGGAAAGCTAGAGGAACAGATGGGTTGCTGTAACAAAACAAGGGAAATGTAATTCCTTAGATGCTTGAGGGGAAAAAGCATAGACTAGGAAGTAATCTGTCAGTAGCAGCAGGGAAGAAAGAAAGAGAAGACACTTGGACTTCTCTGGAAAATACCTGTATTGACTTATCAAGAACAATTCCAGCAGTGCAAAAACTGATTGCTATGAAGAAACTTCAACTTCCAGACATGAAAATTAACTGGAATTTGACTTGCCCTCTCACCGGTAACAACTAGAAAATTGGCCATAATGTATGAAACAGTTGTTTTCATTGGACAATACACAGTGAGGAATTGTGATCCCTGAGAAAAGAGAAAGAAATGAAAAGATCCCTACAATATTCCTGGCTTTCTGCCTGGAGGCACTTTCCAGACCACAAAGAAGGGGACCCAAGTAGACATGACAATCTTGCTATGAGGAGGACAAAAAAGATCAGAGTTTGAGGAGACTGAGGAGGCTGGAATTTGTGAGGCAGAATACCAGAGAAGACAGAGGTATGCAGAGAAAGAGCTCCAGAAATCTTGAGCCCCCTTGAGTCCATGCAACTCCATGACACTGGGCAAAAATAAATAACTAAAAAAACTCTTAGGGAGCTGTAAGCTAAACAATTTCCTGAGCTCCCACTGGGCTGGGAAACATTCTAGTTCCAACCAGGGAGAATGGAGAGACCTTGTTGAACCCCTGTGGCATTCAGAAAAGACCCCAGAAGGGCTTCATGTATATGCAGTAGGGCAAAACTAGCCCTAAAGTAAAGGCTACTCTAGACCTTCCCTAACCAATCTTAAAAGCAAGCATCAAAAAAGATCAAACTGATCTGCTAGTTTTGACCAGACACCAAGCCATATAGAAATCCAGTATCCAACATCCAATCAAAAATTACTAGATATCCAAAGAAGAAGGAAAATGTGGTTCATAAACGAGAGAAAAAAAATCAGTTAACAGAAACAGACCCAGAAATAATAGAAGAATATGCAATTGGGTAACAAGAACTATAAAAAAAGCTATTGTCAATATGTTTAAGAATTTAAAGGAAAACATAAAAATGTTGAGCAAAATTGCAACTATAAAACAGAATACAATGGAATTTCTAGAGCTGAAAAGTACAATATCTGAAATAAAACATTTATTGAATGGGCTTAACAGCAGCTTAAGTAATGAAGAAGAAAAGATCAGTGGACTTGAACATATAGCAACAGTAACTATCCATATGGCAGAGAGGATGAAAACTAGAAGAAAAGAGAAAAAGACAGGTTAGGCACATTGGCCCATGCCTGTAATCCCAGCACTTTGGGAGGCCGAGGCAGGAGGATCACTTGAGGCCAGGAGTTTGAGACCAGCCTAGCCAACATGGTGAAACCCTGTCTCTACTAAAAATAACAAAAAAATTAGCTGGGCGTGGCAGCATGCACCTGTAGTCCCAGCTACTTGGGAGGCTGAGGCATGAAAATCACTTGAACCTGAGAGGCGGAGGTTGCAGTGAGCCAAGATTGCCCCACTGCACTCCAGCCTGGGGAACAGAGTGAGATAGCCCATTCAATGAATTTTTAATTTCAGATATTGTACTTTTCAACTCTAGAAATTCCATTGTATTCTTTTTTATAGTTTCCATTTTGTTCCTCAACATTTTTTATGTTTTCCCTTAAATTCTTAAACATATTGACAATAGTTTTTTTATAGTTCTTGTTACCCAATCGCATATTCTCCTATCAAAAAAAAAAAAAAAGACAAATAGAACATCAGTTACCCATGAGAAAAAGTCAAATGGTCTAAAATAGTGTCACTAAAATCCTAAAAGAGGGCTGAGAGAACAGAAATACTATTTGAAGAAATAATGGCAGAACATTTTTCAAATTTGATGAAAACTATAAACTCACACATTCAAGAAATCCAACAAACCCCAAGTAGAATAAAAATCAATTTAGGTAGAAAGTGCATTCTGAGTATTTTTAATAATGGAGTGATTTTCTGAATGGACTGGACCTAAAGGCACTAGTCCAGGGAGGAGAGGGAAAGGTTTGCAAAACGTAGGGAACTGTACAACTTGTGAAAAAATAGAAACCCACCTAGAAGGCACAAACACTAAAAGAAAAGAGAAGAGATGGGCCATCTGGAGGAACCAAATACTGGAAGGTGCAGACAAACTGCAGAGTAAGGAGAGAAACTCATGAGAATAAAAGAATAGAAGGGCATCTCCAGCTTTCAGCCTTTCCTCTTACCTCATTTTTGGACAACGGTCATCTCAGAACTGAACTTGAAGCTCCATTCTTTTCTGCTTTTTCTTGCTTTTATTGAGCCTAGGTCTTTGTGTGTCCTTGGACCACAACTATCAGAAGTGGTTTATGCTTCACTTGTCTCCTTTCACTTCTCAGTAGACCCGTGCCTCTCCTTTCAGCCTCTTACTTGCCTGGAGTCTTGGTTGGATCTCTTGACCCAGTTTATAGACCTTGAACCTGGGAGGCCACAAGGATGTCTCCTAGCAGCCAGAACTCCTTGCTTGAGAGGCAATGAGGGGTAGAGGAAGGGATACTGACTTAGAATCAAGATTTGAATCATAGCTCAGCTTCTGCCACTAAGAGACATTCTAGAGCTGTGTTGTCGAATATATGTTAGCCACTAGACAAATGTGGCTACTGAGCATTTGAAATGTGACTAGTGTGACTGAGGAATTGAATTTTATATTTAATTTTAATCAAAAACCTGAGACACTGAAAATCATTTTTCCATTAAACACAGTGTGGAAAATATTGTTACATTGTAACAATAATATAAATAATTAATATAAACAATAATATAAATAATATATAACAATAATATAAATAATTAAAATGCATATTTTAATTTTAATTATTATATAATAAACTAGGTTTTTAGTTTAAAAAGTGAGTATGGAAAATTTTTAATATTTAAAATGAAGACATTCTACCGATACAGAATTGAATAGGGATTCAGTAGCTAATAAGTACTTTGACTGGGACCGTAAAGAAAAGAGACTGGGCTGTGCACAGTGGCTCACGCCTGTAATCCCAGCACTTTGGGAGGATGAGGCGGGCAGATCCCCTGAGATCAGGAGTTCGAGACCAGCCTGGCCAAGATGGTGAAGCCCTATACCAAAATAGTCTCTACTAAAAATACAAAAATTAGCCAGACATGGGGGCACGCGCCTGTAATCCCAGCTACTCAGGAGGCTGAGACAGGAGAATCCCTTGAACCCAGAAGGTGGAGGTTGCAGTGAGCCTAGATTGTGCCACTGCCACTGCATTCCAGCCTGGGCGACAGAGCAAGACTCTGTCTCAAAAAGAAGGAAAAGAAAAGAGACTGGCAGGGTGCGGTGGCTCATGCCTATAATACCAGCATTTTGGGAGGCTGAGACAGGAGGATCGTTTGAGCCTCGGAGTTTGAGACCAGCCTGGGCAACATAATGAAACCCCATATCTACAAAAAATACAAAAAGTTAGCCAGGCATGGTGATGCACACCTGTAGTCCCAGCTACTTGGGAGGCAGAGGTGGGAGGATCGCTGGATCCTAGGAAGTTGAGGATGCAGTGAACCATGATTGGGGCACTGCAATCCAGCCTGGGCGACACAGCAGACACTGTCTCAACAAAAAAGAGACTGGAAGAAGTCAAGTCACAAATTTACAAAGTGAACAGCAATTGCAATTTGCTGCAGCAGAGCAAAATTTAAAAGCTGTTTATTTTATTTAAAAATATAAAGTAAACAGGCCGGGTGCGGTGGCTCACACCTGTACTCCCAGCACTTTGGGAGGCTGAGGCAGGTGGATCACTTCAGGAAAGGAGTTCGAGACCAGCCTGGCCAACATGGCGAAACCCCGTCTCTACTAAAAATACAAAAATTAGCCAGGCATGGAGCACACGCCTGTACTCCCAGCTACTTGGGAGGCTGAGGCAGGCTTGAACCCAGGAGGCAGAGGTTGCAGTAAGCCAAGATGGCACCAATGCAATCCAGCCTGGGCAACAGAGCAAGACTCCATCCCCCCACCCAAAAAAAGAAGTAAACAATAGTATGAGACATTTTCAGCAAATATATAGTGAACTTGGTAAGACATTTACTCTCAGCAGTTAAAAAAGAATTAATATTGGTTGCCTGAAATTAGAATTATATGCCCAACAAATATTTTAAACAATTTTTCGCGGTATCTGAGCATATAATGTTGGCCTACTATAAGATGACATAGATTCTTACACAAAAAAGAAAGTCATTTTTAGATAGAGAGGTAATAAAAGAAATTATTATTTTAGTCATGGATATATTGGTGGAAAAGTATAAGAAAAAATGTAAAATATATTTTACAAAAAGTTAAAGCATAGTACAGCCATTACGGAAAACAGCACAGAGGTTCCTAAAACAATCAAAAAATAGAACTATCGTATGATCAAGCAACCCCATTTCTGGGTATATATCCAAAGGAAATGAAATCAGTATCTGAAAGAGATATCGGCACTTCATTCACTGCAGCATTATATGACCATTGATAGATGAATTGATAAAGAAAATATGATACACACACACAGGAATATTATTCAGCCTAAAAAATAAAAGAAAATCCTGTCATTTGTGACAACATAGATGAACCTGGAGGACATTATGCTAAGTGAAAAAAGCTAGACACAGAAAGGCAAATAATGTGTGACCTCACTTATGTGAAATCTAAAAAAGTCAAACATAAAAACAGTGGGTTGGCCAGGCATGGTGGCTCATGACTGTAATCCCAGCACTTTGGGAGGCCAAGGCTGCTGGATCACCTGAGGCCAGGAGTTCGAGACCAGCCTGGCCAATATGGTGAAACCCTATCTCTACTAAAAATACAAAAATTAGCTGGGTGTGGTGGCGTGTGCCTGTAGTCCCAGCTATTCAAGAGGCTGAGGCAGGAGAATCGCTGGAACCTGGGAGGCACAGGTTGCAGTGAGCCGAGATTGCGCCACTGCCCTCCAGCCTGGGCAACACAGCGAGACTCAGTCTGAAAAAAAAAAAAAAATAGGCCGGGCACGGTGGCTCACACCTGTAATTCCAGCACTTTGGGAGGCCAAGGCGGGTGGATCACAAGGTCAAGTGTTTGAGACCAGCCTGGCCAATGTGGTGAAACCCTGTCTCTACTAAAAAATACAAAAATTAGCTGGGTGTGGTGGCGCATGCCTGTAGTCCCAGCTACTCGGGAGGCTGAGGCAGGAGAATCGCTGGAACTTGGGAGGCAGAGGTTGCCGTGAGCCAAGATTGTGCCACTGCACTCCAGCCTGGGTGACAGAGCAAGACTCCATCTCAAAAAATAAATAAATAAATAAAATAATAACAATTAAAAATAAATAAAATAAAAACAGTGAGTTGAATGGTTGTTACCAGGGATGGAGGGTGAGGGAAATAGGGAGATACTGGTCAAAGGGTACAAACTTTCCTTTATAAGATCAATAAATTCTGAAGATCTAATGTATAGCATGATGACTATAGTTAATAATAATGTAGTGTATACTTAAAATTTGCTAACAGAGTTTATCTTAAGTGTTCTCACCACACACACAAAAAAGCGTTGTTATGTGAGGTGATAGGTATGTTAGCTTGATTGTGGTAGTCATTTCACAATATATACGTATATCAAATCATCGCATCATACATCTTAAATATATGCGATTTTTGTTAATTATACCTCAGTAAAACTGGGAGGAGGGGAATGAAAGCCCTTCAATTTAACCTGCCAAACAACTGCCTATTGAATACAAAATTTTTCTAACAATACCAAAGTTCAATTGATTTAAGTTTTGGAAAATTACAAGGACTTTCTTCTACTTTGAGAAGTTATATAAGAGGACCTGCTCAATTAATACTTTGAATGTGTTTTGTCTTAAAAGGACTTTCAAACTTATAAAAAACAAGTATTGCTATTTTGCAGCCTATTTAGTGAACTGACTGGTGTAGATGTTTTTGAGTCTTTTATTCCTGTCAAAGAAAACAGTCAGCTAGATATAACACAGATTCTATCACAAAGAAGGGTGCTCTGGCTATGTTAAATCAAAAGTCTAGATTTATTGCAATTTTAAAGCAAGAAACTGATATTTCTTCTATTACTTTGTTGCTCTTATACATATTGAAGATATTTATGTTCAGTTTTCTGAACAGTGTCATGATACAGTTGTTAAATATATGTGCAAATGCTATGAATCATCAGCTCGTAGAACTGTAGAAATACATAAAAGAAAGTAAATGTAATGATCTTGTGCTCTTTTCCAATGCCCATTGGTTGAGTAGTGGAGAGATCTTTACAAAGGTTTAATGTACTGTTAATTCTCATTTAAAATTTTCTTGAAACAAAAGGAATACTTTCCAAATATTTAATAATAAAAGACCAAAAACAGCAGTGTGATTTTGTTTTCTCATTGATATCACACAGCATATGAATGAGCTAAATTTGAAGCTTCGAGGAAAGGAAAAGTCTTATCCATGACCTAGCTAGACAAGTACAAAAATCTATGTTGAAACTAAAATTTTTCGTAATACAAATCAATAACAATCTTATACATTCTTCTAACAAATTAACATGCAAATTTTCATTATAATAAACAGTATTATGCAAATTTGTTGTGAAACTAAGAATATGAATACATTATATAATTGATGAATGTATCATTTATTTTCAACTTATGTAATACCCCTTTGAATTCAACTTTAATAATACTGAGTTGACACAAGAGTTACTGAATTAAACAGACATAATTTGAAACTGATAATAAGTTTGCTTTAAAGTCAAGTTAATTCTTCTAAAAATAAAGAAACCAGATTTGACAATATGGATGTAAATGTTAAAAGAAAATTATTTTTGGTACTCAACTTAGTTATTGGAAAACTTTTAAGTATGTTTGGAATAACTTGGGTATGTGAATCTATTTTTTAAAACTATAAAGTGTGTGAAATATACAGATCAAATATTTCTGATGCAAATTTAGCATTTGAATTGAAATATGCTGTATGTTTAAAAATACTCAATTCAGAGATTTCACATTAAAAAGAATATAATATATATTTAATAATTTTTAATATGGATTATATGTTGAAATAATATTTTGGCTGGGCATGGTAGTCCAAGCTACTCAGGAGGCTGAGGTGGGAGGATCCCTTGAGCCTAGGAGTTTGAGGCTGCAATAAGCTATGATTGCACCATTGCACTTCAGCCTGGGTGACAGAGCAAGACTGTCTCTAAAAACATAAAACATAAAAATGAATTTTAAAATACTTTGGAGATATTTGGTTAAATAAAATGTATTATTAAAATTAATTTTACTTGTTTCTTTTTATTTTTTAATGTGGCTGCTAGAACATTTAAAATTATGTATATGTCTCACATTTGTGGCTAGTTTCTGACATTTCTTAGTTGTATACCTTAGGCAGGTGTTTTAACATCTCCACACTTCAGTTTTTCCCATCTAAAAATGGGGTTAACAAGAGTTCTTACTTTATAGAGTTGTTGTAAGAATACTTAAATAGTGTCTGGCATATAGTGATTACCATGTGTAATTGCTATTATTATTATTATTAACTATGTGATCTTGAGAAGTTCCTTAACCATTAATTTACTCATATGTAAAATGGTGATAACAACATCTACCTCACAAGACTACTTCTTGAATTAAATGAGATACGATATACAAGATTGCTTGGCAGGAGGTAGGTGACCACAACATTGCTGAAACTTCCAGATCTTTGATGATATTCAGAAGGTTCTGTTATCTGGCTTATCTTGCCCCTCTTAAATTCAATTGTGTTTGTGTGTGCGTGTGTATGTGTGTGTGAGAAAAGTTGTAAATTATAAGGTGCTCTTTAGTTGTTAAACATTATTTTTATTATCCCCTACCATAAAACTGTCTCTCCAAGTATATGTTCCCTAAACTTGCCTTACTTAAAGCCTTCCTAGCCCCACTCACTCACCAGCTAGACTGAAATTTTGCTTTTCCATGAGGCCCTCACTGTGGATTCCAGCCCCAGTATAATCTCCTAACCCTCTAAATTCCTGAGACATTTCCCACCCATTGTATATTTTTGTCAGGTAATCCTATACTACTTTGTATTATTGTTTAATATTATCACCTGTATGTCTCCCTGGTCAGGCTACAGTGACTGTTTTATAACTTGTGAATTTCCCAACAGCACATGATAATTGCTCAAAAAAACATTTGGCCACCAAGTGGGAACATTTGGAAAAATTGGAAGGGAAAAAGGAGTTTTGACCCTGGAGATCTGGGTATACTCTGTAAAGGACAAAAAGTATCACGGGATAGAAGGAGTTTTATGCAAAAGTTTGAGATAAGCTTGAAAGGGCTGAGTACAGCTGATATGGAAAAAGAAGGGCGGAGGTGGTGGCTAAGGACAGAGCAGAGATTAGGAGCATAGTGGACACCTGCCCTGCAGGACAGTCCTGGAACTCAAAGCAGAGCTCTGTCTTTCCCATGGTTCCCCCAACAGCTATTTCCAGCCACACCCAATTTTAGAAGGTGCCACAAGGCCTCAGCCAATCAATTATCTTGCAAATCTCAGGCAGCTCATTCTGAGAGTTGCCTTCCTCTTGCCCTGGGAGCTTTCCCCACACCCAGGCATTTAACATGTTTTGAAATTCTTTCTTCTGCTTGAAGTTTTTGCTGACCACCTGACAGTGAATGAAAGCAGGTGCCCTACTCTACTGCCTTCTGAACTCATAAATCCCTCCTGGGTACTCTATCAGAAGAAAATACCCTACCACCTGAGTCATTGCAGAATCTACCATCTCCAAACACAGTGCCTACTCCATAACATGATGAATTGATGTCACCAAGTTGATGCTTGTTTGGGCCACAGTGAAGGAAAAACACAGCTAACATGGAGAAAAAGAAACTGCTGTTCAACCATGACTCATGGGCTTACCTCACAACACAAGGTTCAGGTTTGTTTTGCATTTTTGTGGCTCCAAGGTGATAGTGAATTGGCAAGGAGAAAAGGAGACAGCATGGTGGAAGTCAGGAGAGGTGTGATTCAGTTCTTGTCACCAACCGCAGTATGAGTTGGGCTGGGTATCAACTCATTTGAGTTTGAAAAATACAGACATGTCTTACCGCCTCAAAATTTTTTTATTCAAAGTTAGTCTGTTCCCACTAGGCATGATGCCCCAATGACAATCACACCTGAAAGGGGTCTGACACTATCCCTGGGAAAGGATCGCTAATTTCTGGATCTGGGGAAGTAGGACATGCCAAGTCTAGTTACCTTGGCCACCTGGCTCAAGGACATGGAACTAACAGAGACCAGCATACATGGATAGGGACCCAGCTGGCTTGATCTTTCACTCTTGCTTTTTTTTTTTTTTTTTTTAAATCCAACCAGGTTCAGCCAGACTCTTCCTCTCTCTTTGAAATGTTATTCCCAGCCCCAGGCCAAAATCTGATTACATAATTAGGCACTCAGTAAGTGTTCTCCAATGCTGATTTTTAATGAACTTGGACAATGCTGCTTCCTGTTTTGAAAGAGACAAACCCATTTGAAAAGCTAGCCTGTGCCCCTAATACCCACAGCATCTTGGAAATCAAATGGGCATTTTAATCACTTTAGAGGCAAAACCAATCAGATATAAATAGGTTAAAGTTCTTACAACTTTAAGACGGCAGCTGTTGAAAAGGAAAATTTGGTAGCAGGATATGATTGTGAAGCCAAAACTAGTACTGGCTGATCTATCTATCTATCTATCTATCTATCTATCTATCTATCTATCTATCTATCTATCCATCCATCCATCCTACCTAGTCACAGATTGTTCTGGGCTAACATCAAGATTATGAGACCTGGCGAGGTAGCTCATGCCTGTAATTCCAGCAATTTGGGAGGCTAAGGCAGGAGGATTGCTTGAGCCCAGGAGTTCAAGATCAGCCTGGGCAATATGGTGAGAACCCATCTCTACAAAGAATGAAAATATTAGCTAGGTGTGGTGGTACATGCCTATAGTCCTGGGTACTCAGGAGGCTAGGGTGGGAGGATCACCTGAGCTCAGGAGGTCAAGGCTGCAGTGAGCTGTGATTATGCCACTGCACTCCAGCCTGGGCAACAGAGCAAGACCTTGTCTCAAAAAAAAAAAAAAATTATGACTATGCTGACTCAGGAGTCTACCATTTTCCTGAGATTTTGGACTGGCAGGTAAAAGATATTTGTAAGACTTTGGATGGCATCTTCCTAACAAATCACTTCTCGGTCTCCTGGGTAACTTTAGAGGGCACTTTGGAGTTAATTCGAGGCCGTTTTAAGTGCCACACCAGGCCTGCTGATGTTCCTTAGTGGAAGTAGAATTAGGCTGACTTTCCCAGCATTTTTGATATGTGTTGAGTAGTACAAGGGGCATGAGGAAAAGGAAATGTTGGAGATAGCAGGCTTGCTGGGAGAAAGGGTAGACATTGAGGAGGGGTGTTGTACTTATTTACCATAAAAGCTGTTCTATCTTCTCACCCTATATCCATGACTACAACTCAGGATTAAATGCTAACACTAGTATTTCCTTGCTTAAAACCTTTCATCTGAACAATGCTTCCCACTGCATCCTTGGTCTGACATTTAAATTCAAATTTGGTTCTGCCTGTATCTTCAAAATCATTTCTCAACACTCCCTGTCACTAAACACTGCTTACAGTTCCCAGTGAGGTGGGAACTCTCTTTTATGCCTTTGCCCAGATTGAGCTCTAAGATTGCCTTTTTCCCACCTTCTTTACCATCTATTTTCTATGTGTTCTTCAAGATAACTCAGGTACCACCATCCTTGACACTGTCCTGAGCTCAATCTCCCCCCTCTGTTACCTCTGAGCACCCCAGGCAGATCTCTATCATAGTCACAGGATACTGTAATCATCTCTTTGCTTTTTTGTCCCCAACTAGACTGGATCATAGACTCTTTGAAGGTAAAACTATTTATTAAGCATCATTATATTTCTGTGACTTGTACAATGCCAGTCACTTGTAGACACTCAATAAATGTTGATGAATTAATTAATTTGGTATAGATTGGGGGTAGAACCATCCCAACCAACTGGCATTGCACAATGCCATAGACTAGAGCTGGCCTCATCTCCAGTTCTCTCCTGGGCACAGGCCTGGAGCTCCACTGGCACCCTAGGAGCTCGGTCCTGTGTCTACACACAGACTCACATTATTCTCTCCATCTAGACTTGGAATCTTCAGCTCCAAGCTCCATGCTCTCCCTCTTTCCTCTTTTGGAAATTTGTTTTTCCTTCTTTCTTTTTCTTTCTTTTTTTGAGATGGAGTTTCGCTCTTGTTGCCCAGGCTGCACTGCAATGGCACAATCTCGGCTCACCGCAACCTCCGCCTCCTGAGTTCAAGCGATTTTCCTGCCTCAGCCTCCTGAGTAGCTGGGATTACAGGCATGTGCCACCACGCCTGGCTAATTTTGTATTTTTAGTAGAGGTGGGGTTTCTCCATGTTGGTCAGGCTGGTCTCGAACTCCCGACTTCAGTTGGTCCACCCGCCTCGGCCTCCCAAAGTGCTGGGATTACAGGCGTGAGCCACCGCGCCCAGCCAGATATTTGTTTCTTGTTTAAATCCACTTGGTTCTTTTCGCTTTGTCTCTCTGCCCTCCCACCATTACGTACACAATGTTTTGGTTGCATGTTTCTGTCTGTTTTTGCATGCATGCATGTGTGCTCTGTCTCCTCCAAAGTTCAGGCCAAAGTTCACAGACGGCCATGGCTCTCCACCAAGCCCACTGCAGTGCTGTGTACACAGTGGAGGTTGCCTCCTTCATTGGCCCAGAGCCTGTTTGGGATCATTCACAATCCCTACAGTCTGCAGCCATCTCTACAAGAGGCCAGTTTGTATAGCTTTTCCTCATAGTATTCATTTCCACAGTGTTCTGTGTCCTGTACTGGATCTGTGCTGAGTTACTGAACATTAAGATTTTGCTTTTGTCTCAGAGACACCTGATGAGAACGTTGTGTGTCGTGACCTCAACCAGCTCAAAACAATTAAAATGTGATATCTCAACTGGATTGGAACACTTCTACCATTTCCCAGTAATACCTTTTGGGAGAGAAGGAGTAAATTTGGAGCTTGTCCTTTCAGGGATTGGGATTCACTGAGATACCAGGTCTCTTCTATTGCAAATAGAAAACAGTTTTTATATAAGGGTTGTAACTCTTGCCCATCCATCTGCAGAGTACATGCTTTTATGGGTTATTTATTTAAAAAAATTAAAGAGTTGTGTTAAACCATTTTTTTGTTGTTGTTGTTTTGAGACAGGGTCTTGTTCTGTCACCCAGGCTGGAGTGCAGTGGCACAATCTTGGCTCACTGCAGCCTCGACCTCCTAGGCGCAAGTGATCTTCCTACCTCGGTCTCCTGAGTAGCTGGGACTATAGGTGCACACCACCATCCCCAGCTAATTGTTTTTAAAAGTATTTTTTGCAGAGATGGAGTCTCACTATGTTGCCCAGGCTGGTCTCAAACTCCTGGGCTCATGCATTCCCCCTATCTCAGCCTCCCAAAGGCTGGGATTGCAGGCATGAGCCACCACGCCCGGCCTAAACCATTTTTATTCTCATCCAATGGTCTGAAGTTGAGAACCGTTGGTCAAAGTTAGGAGTGCTGCCTGTGACACTGGAGTGGATGGAAGTTCACTGGCCCACAAAGGAATCAGATTCGTGACCTTGGCCCTATTACCACTAAACCAACTAGGATATTAGCCCAGAGGCCTGGCAAAGATAGAGCTTGGCCACAACTCCCTTGAGAAAGAGCAGGCTACTCTGCAGATGACCATTTCTAGATCCCCATGGTTTCTGGGCAGTCTGACCCCAGATCCCCAGTGACCAGCTTCCCCTCACCCCAGATGGCTTCCTGTTTGAATGGTCTTCCTACTTCATTAGGTGGGAATAAGTCAAGATAAATGCCACTCAAGCCTATGTCAAGATGGTTAAGAGGAGGGGGCTGGGAACTAGGCACATCTGAATCTGCATCCCAGTGCTGCCGCTTGGTGCTACCTGGTCTTGGGCAAGTTGCTTAACCTCTCTAAACCTTATTTCCTCATGTTTAAAAAGGGTATTGTGATAGCTGCTACTTCATGTGTTTGCGGGGTGATTAAAGGAGAAAAGGCATGTAATGTGTGGAGCACTATGCTTGGAAGACAGTAGGTACTCACTTGGTGGTAGCTCTTCTTCATACATTCATAATATTGTAAATAGTGATAATAAGAAGCCATATTGAAAGTGATTACAACAAGACAGGGCCATGTTGGCCGTGCTCTCAGGACACAACCCCAGTCACTCCTGCCTGCCTTCTCCCAAGGTGACCCAGTTAGACAGTGCCAGCTTTGTTGGGGGCTGCTGAGTGAAGTGAGAATCCTGGCCTGCATCAGGCTGCCTGGGCATGACCCCTGAGCTAGCAGCCATGGGAGGGGAGCAGAAGGGGCAGGGGAGAAAGAGTGTGCTAGTGGGAGGGCTGGGACTTTGAGGAGGAAGTGGGTTTGTGGTAGGGACAGGGTGGGGTAAAGAAGAGGGATGGGCAGAGCTTGAGAGATTTTTAGCAGGAAGGAAGGCAGTTGAGCAAAAAAAGAAAAAAAAAATCCCTTTGTGTCTTATTGGCCTCTTGCTGTCATTTGCTGAAAATGAGGACTCAGATAAACCAATGCAAATCTTCTCGGGTATCACAAAACTCAGGCCTCTCTCTTTTTGTGTCTTTTGTGGGGCATGAGAGAGGTACGGTCTCATCATTGTCCTATCTGCAGCTCCAAAAAAGAAAAAACGGGCTGTGTTTTTCAGATGGTCAGACCATCAGACCAAGATTTAACATGCCTTTTTCAGCCTAAAAGTCTTCTTGCACAACCTGGTGTTATTTCCACAGGCAACTGAAGTAACTCTGCTCTTGAAATCCTGCCCCATGTGACTTTTTCTTGTTTGTTAGCCCAGTAACTAAATAGTCATGACAGGAAGAGAATCCCCCTGTTCTGTGAGGCAGGGACCTGGGAGGTCAGCAGCACCCTGTGGACATCTCCAGGGAGGGCACGTTATATCCTGTGTACTTGGGACAGGGGAAATAGAGCTGGTCCCCACTCTCGGGGGCCTAGCTTAATGCTCCGTGTCGTTCTTCAGCCACACAGTTATCCAACCGAGAGGCAGCTCGGTGTAAACAGAATGACTCTAGAGCCATGCCCCATGGAACACTGGGCAGGTTCTCCTATCACAACAGGAAGCAAAGTCACAGGAGAGCAGGATGTCAAAAGCGAGGTTTCTTCAGCACCTGTGGAGACACCAACTTGTCTCCTCACCCTCCCCCATAGTTCCATCTTGGCTAGACCACTCACTTTCCCAGATTCATTTTCAGACCTTCATCCTCAAACTTCAATCAGGTTTTATATGGGAAAGGGGCCGGGGTGAACGATTTCATCCCAGTGGATCTATTTGATTCTGAGTCTCCTCATCTCACCCCTGAAATAGCCTATTGTTTGGAACAATCTGTTGTTTGAAATATCTCAGCTTGGTTGTTCTGTTTCCACCCATTTTGCACGTTCAAAATCAACCCCTAATCCTCATCTCCCAAATCATCTCAGTTTCCTTATTTCCATTAAACAGGACAGCCATTTATCCCATTGTTCAAGTACTACTTTGCCTCACCCATACTAGCTTCATAAATGGTCACCAGCAGATTCTGCTGATTCTTGATTCATCTGAAATGTCTCTTGTCACTGTCACTTCTGTACAATGCAAGCTTTTATCCCTTCCTCATGCCTGGACCTGGGTAACAGCCCCTTACCAGACCTCTCGGACTCACGCCAGCATTATCCACATTAATCTGCCTGGAACACAGGTTGCATCACTCTCTTTGCACAGAAGCCTCATCACTGGCTTCAGTACAAGGTCCAGCCGGGTGCCCAGCCTGGCATTCCCCACATTCCTCTCCATTCTGGCCACCAACTTCCCCAGGCAATCTCCCACCTCCCCAAAAGATACCCACACTCCTGCCATGCTGTTTTAATACCGCACCCTACCTGGTATGGGAGATGGTAACACAGGAAGGGAGAGAGGGAGGGAGGGAGGAAGGGAGGAAGGAAATGCACACTTCCATCTCCCCCGCAAATCTTTCTGTAGTGGTTCTAGTCTTTGCTACTACACCCTCGTCTGAACTCCACCATCAGTGTCTACGCCATTCATTAAAAAACAGACAAGCTACAGATGATGTGCAAGTGTGTTAAAAAAAAAATAAAAAACAAACAAACCACTTTTATTATAAAAATTTTCAGACTTACATAAAAACCCCTATGACCCCATCAACCAGTTTCAATAGCCATCAAGTTTGCCATACGTATTTAATCTATCCTCCCTTTACCTCCCCACCTTTTTGCTTTTTGGCTGAAGTTTTTTTTCTTTCTCTTTTTTTGAGACAGAGTCTCACTGTACCCCAGGCTGGAGTGCAGTGGCACGATCTTGGCTCACTGCAACCTCTGCCTCCTGGGTCCCAGTTCAAGCAATTCTCCTGCCTCAGCCTCCCGAGTAGCTGGGATTACAGGAATGTGCCACCATGCCCAGCTGATTTTTGTATTTTTAGTAGAGATGGGGTTTCACCATGTTGGCCAGGCTGGTCTTGAACTTGCCTGACCTTGTGATCCACCCGCCTCGGCCTCCCAAAATGCTGAGATTACAGGCGTGAGCCACCGCGCCCAGCCTGCTGAAGCATTTTAAAGCAAATTATAGGTGTTATGTCAACTTACTCCCAAATACTTTAGCATGCATCTTAGAAAGGGTATTTTCTTCTATCACCACAATGCCAAAAATTGATAATTCCTTCTTATCTACAGTCTATATTGAAGTTTCCCAAATTGTTCTTTTTAAAAGTTCATTTTCAGAACCAGGTGCGGTGGCTCATGCCTGTAATCCCAGCACTTTGGGAAGCCAAGGCAGGCAGATCACCTGAGGTCAGGAGCTCCAGACCAGCCTGGCCAACATGGCAAAACCCTGTCTCTACTAAAAATACAAAAATTAGCCGGGTATGGTGGCAGGCGCCTGTAATCCCGGGCATGGTGGCTCACACCTGTAATCTCAGCACTTTGGGAGGATTGTACTTGGTTATGTCTGTGAGGTCTCTTTTCAATCTTTTTTTTTTTTTTTTTTGAGATGATTTCGTTCTGTCACCCAGGCTGGAGTGCAGTGGCACAATCACTGCTCACTGCAACCTGAACCTCCCAGGCTCAAGCGATCCTCCCACCTCAGCCTCCTGAGTAGCTGGACTACAGACATGCACCACCATGCCTGGCTAATTTTTGTATTTTTTGTAGATATGGTTTTTTTTGTTTTTTTTTTTTTTGAGATGATTTCGTTCTGTCACCCAGGCTGGAGTGCAGTGGCGTGATCTCGGCTCACTGCAGCCTCCGCCTCCCAGGCTCAAGCAATTCTCCTGCCTCAGCCTCCAGAGTGGCTGGGATTACAGGTGCACACCACCTAGCCCAGCTAATTTTTATATTTTTAGTAGAAACAGGGTTTCTCTATGTTGGCCAGGCTGGTCTTGAACTTCTGACCTGAAGTGATCCACCTGCCTCGGCCTCCCAAAGTGCTGGGATTACAGGCCTGAGCCACCGTGTCTGTCCCAGGATTTTGCTATGTTGCCCAGGCTGGCCTCTAAGTCTTGTCCTCAAGCAGTCCTCCTGCCTCAGTCTCCCAAAGTGCTGGGATTACAGGTGTGAACCACCACACCCAGCCCTTTAACTCCTTTTAAGCTAGAGTAGTCTCTCCTCTACTTTTCCCCTCAAGTTAATAGGCCTGTAGAATGTCCTACATTCTGGATCTGCCCTGTGGTATCATTTATAGCCTACTCATTACAATCCTAATACCTTGTCTTGATCTTTTTTTTTTTTTTTTTTTTGAGACAGAGTCTGATTCTGTTACTGAGGCTGGAGTACAGTGGTGGGATCTCAGCTCACTGCAACCTCCACCTCCCAGGTTCCTGCCTCAGCCTCCTGAGTAGCTAGGATTACAGGTGTGTGCCACCACGCTTGGCTAATTTTTGTATTTTTAGTAGAGGCAGGGTTTCACCACGTTGGCCAGGCTGGTCTTGAACTCCTGACCTCAGGTAATCCTCCCACCTCAGCCTCCCAAAGTGTTGAGATTACAGGCATGAGATACTGTGCCCAGCCTTGATCTATCTTTGATCTAACTCTTGTATATGTAATTATAGAGTCCCAAAGAAAAAGTCTCGTGTGTGAGTATGTGCAAATGAATGTGTGTGTGTGCGTGTGTGTGTGTGTGTGTGTGTTTGGCTTCAACGTTACAGTTTTCCACATACTACATCCTCAATAAACACCTGCTGAACAACATTTATTAAGTCTACTACCTGAAGAATTGTGTACTAGGGAGAGATACAGAGAAAAAAGGAGACAGATTCCTAACCTTGGTGTTTCTAGTCCTGTTTATACAGGACAGTGGTTCTCAAACTTGAGAAGGCTTATTAAAAACACAGACTGCTGGGTCCTACCCCCAGAGCTCCTGATTCAGTAGGCCTGGGATGAGTCCTGAGAATCTGCATTTCTAATAAGTTTCCCAGATGCTGCTGCTGGCCCAGGGGTCAATCTTTGAGAACCATTACTATCAGACATGAGCTTCAAAAAGTCTCCCACAGCCTCTGGTGCCCAGGCCACTTACAGAGTACTGATTCCCTAGGCTGCCACTTCTGAAGTCTCTCTGAACTCAGTGAGTGGCCTGATTGTCCAAACTTTCTGGTAGGAAGGAGCTACTTTGAAGATATGTCCTCCTGGTGGAGAGGAGTAAGATGATGGTGCTGACAGTAGGGTCCAAAAGTGGCTTCCTGATACAGATGAAAAGGGTCATCTAGGTTCTTTGAGTACCAAAAAGCCTGAGAGGCATGATGGGCAGCAAAAGCCTTTCCCAGGCTAGATACTGACAGCTTTGAGCAAGGGTCTCAGGGTATAAAGGGTATGCTTGCTCCTTTGCCTCCTACAGTTATTCATGCCATCCCTGCACAGGACTACCGCAGGGCAAGATGTGACTGAGGCTTTTTGCCACTGCTTCTGCTCCAGTATCTGCCATCTAGATATGGAATGAAAAGATGGCCTTTGGAAGCAGTGGGCAAAATGAAAAAAACTTTAAAGTCTTTTAAGAGCATCCTATTAAATTGAATCAAAGTGACTAAGTAAAAAAATTTTGTTATTTTGCTCAATGCTCCCAACTAGACTTTTTTTCTATCCCAGGCTTATTTCCTTTCCTGTGGATAATAGTTGTTTCTTAGTTTTCCTTATAATTCCTGCTATTCTTTCTATCCCCTACCTTATTCCTGGGGGCAGATTCCTTTTCCTTCCATCCACCCCATATATTTGGACATTTCCCATGTTCTAAACTCAACCTTCATCTATTCTCACTAATAGACTCTCTTTGATAAACATCTACTTTTTTGGTTTCTTTTGAGACAGAGTTTCACTTCTGTTGCCCAGGCTGGAGCGCAATGGTACAATCTTGGCTCACCACAACCTCTGCCTCCCAGGTTCAAGCGATTCTTCTGCCTCAGCCTCCCGAGTAGCTTGGATTACAGGCATGCACCACCATGCTCAGCTAATTTTGTATTTTTAGTGGAGACGGGGTTTCTCCATGTTGGTCAGGCTGGTCTTGAACTCCCAACCTCAGGTGATCCCCTCAGCCTCCCAAAGTGCTGGGATTACAGGCATGAGCCACTACGCCCAGCCCATTATCTACTTTTATAGCTTCAACTTTCCACTCATATGTTCATGGCTCCCCAAAAAAATACCTCCAGCCCAGACCTCTTTCTTGAGCTCAGACCATCATGCCAACTTCCTGCTGGATGTCTCCACCCGATGACCCACAGGTACCTCCAACTCAGTACATCTAATCCAACTTATTTTCTCCATCCCAATACTTACTTCTTATCCCCTTGCTTTATATCCTATCCCTGTTTCTCCAAACTCAGTGATGGCATCAACATCTCTCGAGTTGTTCAAGCTTGAAATCATGGAGTTCTCTTCAATTATTCTCTTTTCCTCACCTACTCTCTTGAAATATCTGGATAATGCATAATCTTCTTGCAATCTCCCCTGCCTCTGACTTAGTTCCAATCCTTATCATCTCTTTCCTGAGTCACTGCAGTGTATTAATGATAGCTGCTATGTATTGAATGCTTACTCTGTGTCAGAAACAGTGCTCAAATCCTTATATACTATACTAACTACATCTGTTTTCTGCTGCTATAAAAGGATACCACAGGCTGGGTAGTTAATAAAGAAAAGAAATTTATTTGGTTCATGGTTCTGGAGGCTGGGAAGAGCAAGAGCATGGCACCAGCATCCAGCGAGGGCCTTGTGTTGCATTATCCCACGGCAGAAGGGCAAGAGAGTCTGTGAGACAAAGAGAAAGATGGGGCCTGAATTTATCCTTTTATCAGGAGCCTATTCCTGTGACAAATAGACCACTCCCATGGTAACAGCATTAATCTATTTATGAAGGTGGAGCCATAACTTAATCACCTTTTAATCACCTCTTAATCACCTATCTCTATGAGACCATCCTGAGCAACGTAGCAAGACCCTGTCTCTGCAAAAAAGAAATGTGAAAATTAGCCAGGTATGGTGATGTGCATCTGTGGTCCCAGTCTCAGTTGGGAGGCTGAGATGGGAGGATTGCTTGAACCTGGGAGGTCAAGGCTGCAATGAGCCATGACTACACCATTGCACTCCAGCCTGGTCAACGGAGTGAGTCCCCCATCTCAAATAAATAAAAAATAAAGGTTTTACCTCTTAAACTGTTTAATTGCAATTAAACAGATATTTTTGCCAACAGCAATCAAATTTGTTTTCAAGGGGTTATTCAAACCATACATATACCTTATATTTTTCCTTTTTGTTTGACTGTTTTATAATAAATATTATATCATAATTACTAATCAATGGGGTAACTATTATCATCCCCATTTTATAGGTGAGAAAACCAAAGGCTTAAAAATACTAAGTAACTGGCTGGGCGCAGTAGCTCGTGCCTGTAATCCCAGCCCTTTGGGAGGCCAAGGTGGGTGGATCACCTGAGGTCAGGAGTTCGAGACCAGCCTGGCCAACATGATGAAACCCCATCTCTACTTAAAAAATATAAAAATTAGCTGGGCGTGGTGGTGCACACCTGTAATCCCAGCTACTCAGGAGGCCGAGGCAGGAGAATCGCTTGAACCCGGGATGCGGAGGTTGCAGTGAGCCGAGATCACGCTATTGCACTCCAGCCTGGACAAGAGCAAGACTTTGTCTGAAAACAACAATGACAACAACAACTAAGCTTGCCCAAGATCTCCTGCTTTCTGGTAAGTTGTGGAGACAAGAGCCTGTGTTCTTAAACACTGCCATGTAGTGATGTGGTCCCAACGTTGGTGGCACTCTAGAATCACCTGGGGAGCTTTTAAAGACTACCATTTTCCCAGCCTCAACCCAGACTAACTGAATCAAAATCTCTGAGGGTTTGGCCTGCACCTGAGTATTTTTTTAAAACTTCTTTAGGTGATTGTCATAGGCAGTCAATACTGAGAACCCTTGCATTACTGTTTGTATGCATAACCGCTTTCTCTACTCCAATCCCACTCCACTCTGAATCTTCCTCCAGACTGCTGTCTAATTGTTCTTTTAAAGCACCACTGTGATGATGCAACTGTCCTGCTCATGCAGCTGCAGTGGTTCCCCTCTGCCTATACAATAGGGGCCAACATCCTCAGTGGAGCAGCCGGACTCTTCTCAGTTTGCATGCCCATCTGTGAGCCACCCTTCCGGTACTGTTTTTTGTGTGTGTGTGTGTGTGTTTTTGAGACGGAGTCTCGCTCTGTCGCCCAGGCTGGAGTGCAGTGGCGCAATTTCAGCTCACTGCAACCTCCGCCTCCCGGGTTCACGCCATTCTCCTGCCTCAGCCTCCCGAGTAGCTGGGATTACAGGCGCCCACCACCACGCCCGGCTAATTTTTGGTATTTTTAGTAGAGTCAGGGTTTCACCGTGTTAGTCAGGATGGTCTCAATCTCCTGACCCTGTGATCCACCCGTCTCGGCCTCCCAAAGTGCTGGGATTACAGGCATGAGCCACTGCGCCCGGCCTTTTTTTTTTTTTTTCTTGAGACAGAGTCTAACTGTTGCCCAGGCTGGAGTGCAATGGTGCAATCTTGGCTCACTGCAACCTCCACCTCCCGAGTTCAAGCGATTCTCCTGCCTCAGCCTCCCAAGTAGCTGGGCTTACAGGTGCCCACCACCACGCCTGGCTAATTTTTTGTATTTTTAGTAGAGACGGGGTTTCACCATGTTGGCCAGGCTGGTCTCAAACTCCTGACCTCAGGTGATCCACCCACCTCGGCCTCCCAAAGTGCTGGAATTACAGGCATGAGCCAAAGACCTTCCCTTACTCTTTACCTGCAGCTACACCACACACTTAAGATTTCCAATACCCTTGCACATGTTATTTGCTCAGCCTAAAGTGGCCTTTTCCCCTTCCTTCCCATCCTACCCAACCTTAACTCCCAACAAACAGCTCCTCCTTTTCCTTTGAGACACAGTTACAATGTTATCTCTACAATTTCCTCAGGTAGTATTAATGGATTCCCTTTTGTTCTCTTTGTAATTTGCCTAATTACTCTGAATTGCCATCATTTACTTACACATTTGTCTCCTTCAAAAGACTTTGAGCCTCAAGAAGATCTGTGTCTTGTATGGATTTTTATGGCCTAGTCCATGTCAGGTACTCAGTAAATGATGAAAGAATAACCCTTGCCCAGCTGTGCTGCCTACTGTCACCTGGTTTTATCAAGCAGTGGTCAAGAACAGAGTCCCCAGAGTCAGATGAGTCCAAATCCCAGTTCCATTCCCTTACTAGCTGTGTGGCCACCCACTTGAGACTAACCTTATCTACCCTCTCTCTGGCTTAGTCTTCTCATCTGTAAAACGGGGATAATGATAGTACCTACCTCATAAAGTGGCCATGAGAATTAAGTGAGGTTAATCTATATCAAGGGACAAGGGACCAGCACAGTACTTAGCACACAGCAAGCACTCACTCTCCATTCTTATTATTATTAGCTTAGAAAACAGCCTTCCAATATATTGATAACACTTATAGAAAATTACGTGTGTGTGTGTGTGTGTGTGTGTGTGTGTGTGTGTAGAAATACATGGGAAAGTGTCCACTAAAGTGATATTTTATGGTTTTTTAACTTACATTTTTCTTTACTGTTTGACTGTTTCACAATAAATATCAATTTTTATATGTACACTTAGCCACTTTAACTCCCAGAATACACCCATACATACACACAAACACTCCAATCCATAATATGCATATACAAACCCCACCAGCACACAGACACAACCACATAAACTCCCTCAGGAGGCAGAAACTCTGAGTTCAGATGTGACTCAAGCTCAGGGACATTGAAAACATGCCTACATAGTGGGAATGTTTAGACTTTAGGCCATCTCTGGCTCACAGCCAGTAGCGGGGAGCAGGCACTCCACCAGCTCTGGAATAAGAAAGTGGCATTCCTATCCATCCAAGCCTTCAAGTAAACACCCAACCTGGGTGTCTGGAGACAGACCCCCTTATGAAATGCAGGCCGTGGAGGAGAGACCCATCTATGCTGATTTCTCTCGCGGGGTGGAAGTGTGGAGGTGAGGAGCGGAGGGCTGGACCCGCCGCACAATACACAGAAGAATGCTGGGAAGTTAACTATCTCTCAGACCGTGCTGTTCAGAGGAAAAGGAACTGTCTAACTACTGTCAGAAAATGATTTATTTTTAGTCCCAAAAGCTTAGGAAATGCTAGAACTGGATGGTTGGAGCTAAATCCTACATTTTAATTGGAACTTCCTTTTTCTTTCACTGAAAAAGAAAACTTGTAATGACTTTTGAACTGGCCTTAGTGCTTAGACTACAATTTCACTATAGTTTTATATCAAATGTATTATCATAATTAGCCTACTCCATGTTAGAGTGTATTGTGACCAAGAAAAATCAGATGCCATAATGACTTCCAGAAATCAAATCTGCTTTTCTGTTGCCTCAGAAATGAGGCAAATCTTTGGACCCAGGTACCAACCCTGACATTTGGAGAAGAATCTGGGAAGATCCGTAGCAAACAGAACAGAACCCTATCCAGGGTTGAAGACTCTCATAGGGTGGGCACCAGTGCCAGGCCCCTGGTGTATACCCAGTTTGGAGTCAGGTAGGGAAATCACAGCATCAGGAAGAACCTATAGCTCCCCGACTCAAGGCAGCAAAGAAAGGGGGGAATCCCTTTGCTTAAAAAGACATGGTCTCAGGTTCTGTGTGGTGGCTCATGCCTATAATCCCAGCACTTTGGAGGCTGAATCGGGTGAATCACTTGAGGCCAGGAGTTCGAGACCAGCCTGGCCAATATGGTGAAACCCTGTCTCTACTAAAAATACAAAAAAATTAGTCAGGCGTGTGCCTGTTGTCCCAACTACTTGAGAGGCTGAGACAGGAGATTTGCTTGAACTCGGGAGCGGAGGTTGCAGTGAGCCGAGATCTCGCCACTGCACTCCATTGAAACAATTAGAAGAAAGAATCTAGCATTCTATCTTTGTATGTGGAGATCCTGTGTTGAAGTTTGCAGAAATATGTAACTGACCAGGGCTACCATGTACAGACACGGAGGTTGTACAGTATGTGATCTATACAACCCACCTTCCACACTTAGAATGTGTGCTGCACAACTTAGCACTGAATTCTATACTGTCTCATGTAACACAGATGATCCCAATCATCACCAGGCAAATGAGAAACAATTCAGGCAATAAATGAAGAGAAAGTAGCATTAACAACAAATATTTTACTAACTTGCAACTTCCTCTTGTGAATCAGGACCTCAGCTTTTCTTCTGCCACCTCAAATTTCCTAGTTCTTTCTTTTCTAAAATTGAGGTTTACGTATGTAATTACATATCATAAAATGTGCCATTTTAAGGTGTACAACTCAGCGGCTTTTAGTATTTCACAACTCTGTACAACCATCACCACTATCTAGTTCCAGAATATTTTCATCACTGAAAAAGATAACCCCCTACCCACAAAACAGTCACTTCCCATTAATTCCCATCTCCTCCCAGCCCCTGGCAACCATTAATTTGCTTTCTGTCTCCATGGCTTTGCCTGTTCTGGACATTTCATATAAATGGAACCAAACAGTATATGGCCTTTTATGACTGGCTTCTTGCCTTAGCATGTTGTCAAGGTGCATCTATGTGGTTGTATGTATCAGTGCTTCATTCATTCTCCCAGTTATTTCTGGGCATCCCAGATGATGGTTCTCATGCACTCAGGCCTAAGTCTGCTCATGCACATCTGCCCCCAAGAAACCACCTGGAAGAAAGGCCTCGAAGCTGCTCCCTCTGCCTACTTTAAGGATGTCATTTTCCCACATGGGTTCCATCTCCTGGTATTTTTCAAACTGGGAACCCTGAGGTGTCAAGTGATATTCAGTTACCATCAGTCCTCTCCCCTCTGCACTAGAGATACATTCTGTGCAGACCTGGGAACACTGTCTCTCCCTGCTTGAGTGCTGCCCATTTGCATTACTATTAAAAAAAAAACCTGGGGCTGGGTAATTTATAAAGAAAAGAAGTTTGATTGGCTCACACTTCTGCAGACAGTACAAGGAGCGTGGTGCTGGCATCTGCTTCTGGTGAGGGTCGCAGGAGGTTTACAATCATGGTCGAAGGTGGAGGGGGTGCAGGTGCCTCACATGGCAAGAGCAGGAGCAAGAGAGCGAGCCAGGGGAGGTTCCACACACTTTTGAACAACCAAATCTCATGAGAACTCTCTATTACTAGGACAACACCAAGCCATGAGGGATTCTCCCCGATGACCCAAAGACCTCCCACCAGGCCGCACCTCCAACACTGGGAATTACATCTCAACATAAGATTTGGAAGGGACATGCAAACTGTATCACCGGTCCTTAGGAAGGCACCATCTTCAGCTTTTAATTACGTCTCCTTCTGGTGTCTGAAGACAGGCCTGCTCTTCCACTCCCCCATCTCTCTCACTCACTCTGATCCTAGAGACTTGGGTTGGGAGGGAGCCCAAGACAAAACAAACTCTCTGTCTTCAGCTAGGTTCCCTCAGAAGCACATCTTAAGACAAGAATTGGTGTGGACGTGATTTTTTTTAGGATGTGTTCCCAGGAAAAAACAGTAGGGGTGTGAGAAGGTGGAATGAGGAATATGTGGAATCCAGAAAAAGATGTGGAATCCAGAAAAGGATATGGAATCAAGTGAAATCCCACAGAGGGTAACTTGAGCTCAGTCCCACAGGGCAGTGACAGTGTAAGTGAGACCTCAGAGTGGAGTGTTTACTCACTGCACCTGCCAGTCACTGGGTAAGGGCTGCTTTCCGGGTGTGTAAAGTCCAGACCCTTCAGCTCTCTGTGCCTTCATGCAAAGGGGGTCCTGGCAGCCTGAGAGCAGCCCTTTGACATAGAGATGCAAGTGCTGGCTGTTAGAAGTGAAAGCACACATTTCTGCTACACTGTTTCTCGAGGATTCTTTTTCCAACAAATATATCAGAACCTCCTACATCACAGTGCTGAGCACTTAGTATCTGTAATAGATAGATGGACAGAGAGAAAGAGAGAGAAGGAAAGAGAGAGCGAGGCTCCACTAGAGGCCTAAAAGTAAATTTTTACAGTCATAATTTTCTTTTGAATCATTTGAAAAAATAAGAGTACATTATATACATCTCTGGCTAACTCTTCCACTTACTGTACATACTTTGGCATGTGCAAAAGAAAATGAAACCAGTAGCTGCTAGATGGTTGATGTAAAGAAAGGAAACACAGGCCGGGCGTGGTGGCTCAGGCCTGCACTTTGGGAGGCCAAGGCGGGCAGATCACCTGAGGTCAGGAGCTCAAGACCAGCCTGGCCAACATGGTGAAACCCCGTCTCTACTAAAAATACAAAAATTAGCCAGGTGTGGTGGCACACGCCTGTAATCCTAGCTATTTGGGAGGCTGAGGCAGGAGAATCACTTGAACCTGGGAGGTGGAGGTTGCAGTGAGCTGAGATTGCACCATTGCACTCCAGCCTGGGCGACAAGAGCAAAACTTCGTTTCAAAAAAAAAAAGAAAGAAAGGAAGGAAACACAGACACTCAGGGAAATCTGTTTCATGAAGTTCCAGGTGACAAAGTTGATTGTCAACAAAGTGTCCAGTGTTTGATAAGCCAGGGATGCCTGATAATGTACTTCTCACCCTGGGTGTTGGAGGATCCCTCTCTGGTGTATGGAATGAATCTTATTTTCTTTCTTCTTTTTTTTTTTTTTTTTAGATGGAGTCTCTCTCTGTCACCCAGGCTGGAGTGCAGTGGCACGATCTCAGTTCACTGCAACCTCCACCTCCTGGGTTCAAGAGATTCTCCTGCTTCAGGAGAACCCAGGGAGCAGAGAACATAGCTCTGTAACTAACTTGGGAATGTTGTTGAGCTTCTTTGTTTTTCTCTTTCCTCAACTGTTTTGCCTCCCTCTCAAGGTTGATGTAAAGATGAAATCAACGGATATAAAAAGACTTTGAGAAACAAGGTATAATGTATTATTTTAAATGGTTTTTGGATTTTTACAAAGAAATATCAGTAATGGAGAGGAAAAGCTTAAAGAATGAGACTGAGAAGGTTCCCCTGAGTCCTCAGTGAAGTCTCAGTCTCAGTGGGAATTCACCATGACCCCAGATCTGGCCTGTGACTGTACATTCATTAACCTCACCATTAGCAGCTACTTTAGACCTTCCAGGCAACAGTTGGACTAATCACTAAAGGTCCATGAAGGGTCCTTGGCAGAACTAAGGTCAGGAGAGAAGGCAAAAGGGGAATACAAGATAGGCTGAGGGGGGGAAACAGATGAGAGAGAGAGAAGGCAGGGGTCTGGGGGAGGTGTGGGGGAGGTAAATGCATTAAGAAGTAAGGAGTAAAGAACAGAGAGGAAACAGAGGTGACCATGCTGGACAAGGGCAGACACCATTAGAAGCTCCTCCTGCGACATTCACAACCTGGGCTTCTACAGTAGAGGCCACATCAGCCACATACTCTTCACAGCCCTGTTCCCAACTCTCAACCTGCCTTTCCAAATCATTTAAGGGGAAAAGAGTGGGGAGGGTCTCCAAGAAAATCTGACCTTGACCCCCACAGCTCTCCAGCAGGTTTGGGCAGAAGGTGGCTAGAGAGCCCGGAAGCAGAGCCCTGATCTGGCCGGTAAACAGAAGGCCCTCAGTGAGCATGCCAGCCTGTAAGTTGTCCTTTTGTTTTGCAGGCTTTACCGAACACGGTTTTATTTCATGTGACTGTGCTATTTCAGGAGGAGTAAATATTGCCGGCGGTCTGTTTAAAAAGGCCAATGACCTGAAATGTTGTGGGGTTTTTTGTCTTTTCTTTTCCATTTGAATTATCTCCAAGAGGCAGGCTTGCCCAAGTATCGTGCAGTTTTAACTCACTGGCTTTTGGTTGTAACTTTCCCTTTTTGTCTCATGATATGCTGGACTGGAAAACAAGACAGCAAAGATATGAAGATAAAGAGGCGAAGAGCTGACCTAGGCTCCAGGAAAGAACGGGGAGATGTCCAGGGTGTAACCCGGAAGAGGGCAGGGAGTCATAGGCTCTCTGCTGCCTTCACTGTTTCCGGAGCTGGTGTTTGACCTATAATTATAGTCTCTTTCCTCTGATTTCCTCTGTGAAAATAGCAACATTCAGACTAAGCGCAGAGTAGAAAAAATGCGCTACATAAAGGATCAGGGATTTATAAATACGGCCAAAATTACAGGATTGTTACCCCCGTGGTTTAGTTCTCTGAAGAGAAGGTTGGGAAGAGACAGCACAGTTCTTCAAACTTGACTCAGGTCCTAAAATACCTAGGTCTGCCTCTTTGGGGGCCAAGTCAGGGAGAGATTCACTGCAATTATTTTTTCACTGGATGTCAAAACATTGTAAAAATGGATGACCCTGGCCAGGCACATCCACACTCTCAGGATTTTTATTTTCACTTCTTAAGAATTCTCACTCATCACCTAATTGTTCTGCCTCCTCATCAAACTTATTATCTCTAAGGAATAGCTAGGGGTGAAGGATATCCTCGTCTTAGCCCACTACCTCCCAATCTTCTAAGACCTGCTTTTCCCCTAGACAATGTGTTCATGTTGGAAACATCATGTTCTTAGATGACCCAGAACCTGGTCACAGCTGGAACACACATTGGCCCTCCCATTGGGATTTCTTAACTTAGAACAAGTGAAAGATCAGCTAAGTTCATCTCTGGTGATAGAAACTGTCCTATGGAAATATGGCCATGGAAATGGAGATAGCCTGTCTGCAGTAAAAGAGAAATGAAGCAACCATGAGTGAGAAACAGATGCACAGTAGAGACAAAGGCCGGCACAGTGAAGTCCCTGGTGCTTGTGGTTCCTGAGGCCCAGCTCCATGTTTTCCTGACCTTTTCTTAGTTTGGATACTCAACCTTTCTATGGATTCCATAAGCTAATATATTCCCTTTTTTGCTAAACTAGTTCAAGGGGAGTTTCTGATGTGTGTAGCCAAAAGTCTTAACTGACGCAATATAGTTAATGCCAAGGATTCTCCAGGAGAGTTGGCAAAGCAATATGATCAGTGCAGTATCTCAAAACTGGTTTCACAAAAGGGTTAAGAGCGATATTTATGGTATGCTGACTTTGAACAACTATCACTACCTACTTTTCAGAAAGATAAATGTTGGGAAGAGGAATGAACATATCCCAAGCAGCATTTATGACCCAACAGCTGAAGAAGAGGAGGGGACATGGAAAAACGCTTGTGGCCTGGCCTCTGCCTTCTTGTGGAATCACATATAAGATTTCTAGGTAGGAGATTTCTATAAGGGACTGCAAGAATTATTTTCCCAGCACCCATCACAATGTCGTAACTCTCAACATTGGATCTGCAATCAGTTAAAACCCATGTTTTCCTCTCAGTAGAATAGTGACTGAAGAAGAGTGACTGGTCAGCATGACAACTTTTCTACGCTTAAGAGTTGTTACCTCCACACGAAAAGATTACAGTCCTCTCTATGTGTCAACGAGGCAAATATAACAGCCTGTCATAGTGGTGTAGAAAATGCCCTGGACTGGGCCGGGTGCAGTGGCTCACGCCTGTAATCCCAGCACTTTGGAAGGCCGAGGTGGATGGATCACCAGAGGTCAGGAGTTCGAGACCATCCTGGCTAACACAGTGAAACCCCGTCTCTACTAAAAATACAAAAGATGAGCCAGGCGTGGTGTCACATGCCTGTAGTCCCAGCGACTCAGGAGGCTGAGGCAGGAGAATCACTTGCACCCAGGAGGCAGAGGTTGCAGTGAGCCAAGATCATGCCACTGCACTCCAGCCTGGGTGACAGAGTGAGACTCCGTCTCGAAACAAAAAAAAAAGAAAAGAAAAGAAAAGAAAATTCTCTGGACTGTGTCCAAGGACCTGGATTCCAACCAAAGTTTTGCTACCGAGCACTTATAGAACTAGCTAAGCCTCTCAGTCCAGTTTCCTCATCTGTTAAATAAGGAATTGGGCTAGATGATCCCTAAAATCTCTTCCAGCTCTCGTATGCCATGGCTCTAAGGTAAATTACTAGCCTAGAATCATTCTCCACAATGAATACTATCTGCTTTCCACCAAAAACAAGGGGGAAAAAGGGAGAAAGAACAAGAAATTCAGATATTTTGTTTTCTCATATTTAAGGTGAGATGATTCTTTTTATAAAATTAAGATTATTTCTAACATCATTAGATCTTCTAAAAATAACAGGTTTATTAAATAAGAAATGTATATTTACTGTAGAAAAATGTAAATACACATAAGCAAAAAGAACTTAAATAACCTAAAATCCTTCCTATCAGAGACAGCCTCCATTAATATGTTGATGTATAAATGAAAATGTTTTTCTATACACACATATACATTTTTTCCTTCTGAAAATAGGATCAGACTATTCATTCTGTTTTTCAAGTGGATCCTGACATTTAGCAACATACTGAAAAAAATCTTTCTATGTTAATAAGTATACTTATATAGCATTGATTTCAACAGTTATATGGTAATCTGTTGTTTAGGTACATCCCCTATGGCTGGATAGTTACATTTATTTTTCACTATTAACAGTCTTATAAATATACTATGTGCAAACATGTATGTTTTTTAAGGCTTCTGAGTGCACAGCCAGCAGCAATACAGCATAAGTAGGGAGGAAGGAGCTGTCACATCCTTCTTTATAGATGCATGCACTAGGCAAGCTCCTCCTAACAATCAGATGGTTACGGGGAACCATTTGATTCCCCTATGCCATGTGACTACCACCATCCTGGTCACAACTGATTGGATTAGCATCCTTTTCTCCCCTAAAAGCAACCATCTGGGAGTGGCCCAAAGCCTATGAGGGGGCAGGAGACCCCTTCCCTGAGAGGGATTCCTACCTTGGGTGGTGGGTGGACAAACTGAGCAGATTCTCCCTCAAGTTACTGAACACAACACACACAAGAGGCCTTTAGTCAGCAAGGGCAGGAGCAGGCAACAGTGGATTCCCCACAACGTCAGAGAGGAAGGAGTCCTATCCAGTGTGGTTCCCAGAGCCGCCCTCCCTGGCTCCGGCTAGTTTAACCTGGAGGGTGAAGGGACAGCCTCCAGAGCCAGAGAACCTGGCTTTGGATCCTGGTTCCATCACTTCTTACCTAGAGGATCTCTGGTTAGTCCCTTTGCCTGTCTGACCCTGAGTTTCCTCATCTGAAAATGAGGAGATTAACACCTACTACAAAAGGTCACTGTGAAAACTAAACAAAATAATATATTAAAAAGCCTTTAGAAGAATGCCTGGTATAGAATAGGTAGTATTATGCCTCTGCTGGGAAGGTTTGTTTTACCTAGAACCACAGGAGTTTAAGGAGTGCTATAGGTCACTGATACCTGCAAGGACAAACTGGTGACTTCGGATACCCTGTTATTATTAGTTTACTCTTTAAGTGTTTTCGTCTCCTCCACCAGCTTGGCGAACTCCTTGAGGACATGGGCTTTGTTTTCTGTTCCATTTTACCCTCCACTGTGCCTTCGCAGGGTAAGCTCCTAATCTGTGATTGATTCTGCTGATTAGTGAGATTGTCTTTTCCTTGTTGAGCCAGCACAGCCAGTTTGAACCAGTGTAGTGGGCAGCTGGCCCGGCAGCCTAGCTCTCCTCCCTCCATGACAGCCTTCCAGAAGTAACTCTCCCTGGAAGGCAGGCAGAGCACAGCAGCCCTCAGCAGCAAGTGGAAGCTTTGTGTTCAACGCAGAGCCAGCCAAACTCTTGGGACTGGAAGTTGTCACCTATTGCAGTTTGCAGGCTTGAAAAAACATCCCCATCGAAGCTAACCCAGAACCTCCTACAGCATGTGCCAGGGCTGACAAAATGTAGAGGTGCAAGTCTGTTTTAGGGACTGCTTCCTTCAGGAAAGCCTGCTTCCTGAGAAGGCCTGAAGGACACGCCGTGGCTTCCCTCTCTGGTGTGTCCTGAGGCTAGAACCCCAAATAAAGGGAATGAAGTCATGAGGTCAGTGAAAGTTGTTGGTCCTTCTCACCGATTCAGTCCCTCCTGAACTTGCCTGCTGGCCTACCTAGGCCACCAAACATGGGCCTTGAATGCCTAATTGCCCAGCAGCTACCAAGACACGGTTTCACATAAGCTGGAGAGAGGCTCAGCTAAACAGGACAACTAGAGAGGAAGGAGATCCTGAGTAGCAGCAGCAAGTTTGGAGCTAAAGGTGTCAGAGCACAGGGATTCAAACTTTTTTTTTTTTTTTTAACATTCCTCTGTGCCAGGTATTAGACTGGGTGTGTTGCATAATAATATGCATAATAATAATATTAAAAGCTAAAACATAGTACACACCATCTGCCAATTACTATGCCAAGCATTTTACACATATTAACTCATTTAATCATTACCAAAAACCATTGAAGTAGGTAGTATTATTATCTCTATTTTACAGATAAAAAAACTGAGGCACAGTAATTTGTTTAAGGTCTCACAGCTACTAAATGGCACACCTGGACATGCACATAATTCTACTGTTATAATTTGAAACTGTCCCCTTTGAAACTCATGTTGAAACTCACTCTCCAGTGAAACAGTATCAGGAGGTGGGGCCTTTCAGAGGTGACTGAGTCATGAGGGCTCTGCCCTCATGATTGGATTGACTAGTCCATTCCTGGGTTAATGGATAATAGGTTATCATTGTGTGAGTGGGTTAGTTATCACAAGAGTGTGTCTGTTATAAAAAGCCAGGTTGGTTCTCTCTCATGAGCCCCCTCACCATGTGATGTCCCAAGCTGCCTTGGGACTCTGCAGAGGGTCCCCATAAGAGGAAGGCCCCGACTAGATGGAATCCTTTGTCCCTGGACTTCTCAGCCTCCAGAACTGTAAGAAATAAATTCCTTTTTTCTGCCTCAGCCTCCCAAGTAGCTGGGACTACAAGCTCCTGCCACCACACCCGGCTAATTTTTTGTATTTTTAGTAGAGATGGGGTTTCACCATGTTAGCCAGGATGGTCTTGATCTCCTGACCTCGTGATCCGCCTACCTCGGCCTCCCAAAGTGCTGGGATTACAGGCGTGAGCCACTGCGCCCAGCCAAATAAATTCCTTTAAAAAAAAAAGTACCTAGTCTCAGGGATTTAGTTATTGCAACAGAAAGCAGACTAAGACACCTACTGGAAAGCTTTTCAATTAAAGTCTAATATGATCATCTACACATGTATACATTTAATTCTCATAGTAAGTCTATAAGCTACGTTAATGTGGTCTCATTTTACAGATGAGAAAACTGATGGTCAGAGAGGTTAAATATGTTCAAGTTCCATAAGTAACAAGTGGTGAATATCATGCCAGTCCTGTGTGGCTCCACCACACCCTGACACAAAAAGAAGACCTTGCAAAAGAACAGGAAAATGCTTAGTGGGCTTAGGAAAGGAGGCCACTGCAAAACCACAAAAATTGGGAATATGCTACCCTGCAGGAGGTAGCACCCAGGCACAGCAAAGGGTGGAGGCTCCGGAACCAATCTGATTACTTGCCCCACTGCAACTTTCCAATCACACCAATTAGCCAGATTGATTTAAATCTGATAGTGGCAGATTTCTAAACGCCTTTTACAAAGGTGAACCTGGCAATGCTTAAAAACTGGCTCTAAATGCAGCCAAATCTCAAATAGAAAAATCTCCAAGCTTTACACTCTCTGCTCACTTTCTAAGCCACCTATTTTTTTTTTCTTTTCTTCTCTCCTTCCCAGTTAGGATAATTAAGATCTTAGAATCATAGACCTGGAAGTTTAGAGATGATTTAGCGCCCCTCTGCTTGCTTTAAGGCTACTTACTGCAACAGTTACCTCCCTCTGTATGTTTAAACCTTTTCTCCCTGACAGAAGAAGGTTTGCCCTTGTAAATGGGATTGAGTGATCAGCTAGTGGCAGAGCTATTTTAAGGCACCTGCCTGGAATCTCACAATGGAGGGTGATGCAGAAGGCACCTCCTTAAAGATGGCTTTGTCTACCGACCCCCTACTACCACCACCACCCACCCAGGTCCTCATTGGGGAAGGCCAGAGGATCTACTCTGCCTTTTCCAAACCTAAAGGAGCTCTTGGAAGGGTCATCAGGAAGACAGAAAGAAATAGGACCTATTAAGGAACTAACATGCAAATAATGACAGTAAGATAAGATTGTGTTAACAGACTTGTAAGGAGTTTTATATGAGCACCCAAACCAAAAACTACCAGTGCCTGCAGGGATCCAGAAACCTCACCAAGGAGGATGCCCAGGGAAGGAACTGAGGCCTAGGGAAGCTGCAGGCCTGGGAGGTTACATGGTTTCTCCACTGAAGGCAGGCAGCGCTGGTTTTGCAACCTGACTTTCCCCTTGCTAGCGTGGGACTACAACCAGTGACACACCCTGGCATTCCCAGCCTTTATTTTCATTGTGCAGCTGTCTGATTGGGTGGGTCCCTACACTAAAATGGAAAAGATAACGACTACAAAATTGAATTACACCGTAGACAGATTCTTTATTACCACCACCAAGCACTCACTGATTACCCAGCTCCTTTTAGATTGAGCGAGTTTGACCAATGGAGTGGAGGCATATACTAAGCTCAGCATCTCTGGGTCCCTCCCCACTGTAGCTAAGTTCCCAGCCATGGTACTGTTGAGGCCCTAAGTTCCCAGGGTGAAGATCTGACTATGACACCAACAGGCAAATCAGGACAACAATCATCTTAGTCCCACACCAGTTTCTCAACAGAAGCTAACAACTTACATTGATTAAATGTCGGCTAAGCATCAGGCACTCTGATGAGTGCTATATATACATTGTATATATACAATGAATCAGGTACATTATTATGTCTATTTCTTTTTTTTCGTTCTTTCTTTCTTTTTTTTTTTTTTTTTTTTTGAGACAGAGTTTTGCTCTTGTTGCCCAAGCTGGAGTACAATGGCTCAATCTCGGCTCACTGCAACCTCTGCCTCCCGGGTTCAAGCAAGTCTCCTGCCTCAGCCTCCCAAGTAGCTGGGATTAACAGGTGCGTGCCACCACATCTGGCTAATTTTTGTATTTTTCGTAGAGACAGGGTTTCACCATGTTGGCCAGGCTAGTCTCGAACTCCTGAGCTCAGGTGATCCACCTGCCTTGGCCTCCCAAAGTGCTGAGATTACAGGCGTGAGCCACCGCTCCTGGCCTATTATGCCTATTTCACAAATGAGGAAATTTTAAGAGATTAGGTCACTTGCCCAAGGTTGGCCCACTGAACCATGAACTCCAGGAGACTAAGGACTGCTTTATTTCTGATGCCTCCCTCACACCCAGAACGGTGCTAGACACAGGGAAGATGTTCAATTAAAAAAAATTCCTAAATGGATGAATGAACAAGTACTAAATGCTGAAGCAAAGAGGAATGTGTTCTCCAGAAAGAGAATGAGAAATATAAATGGACAAGCAGAGAGGAAGATATTCCGTAGGCTAACTAGAAGAGCTGTAATAATCTACAGCTCTTTTAACCTTCCCTTTATCCTTGTAGCTTTCCCATTGAGTGTTTTCAATGGGAAATGTCTAACTGCTCTGTGGGTGTACACCACGGCCAGTTGCTAATTTTGGAACACTTGTGAATCCTGGGCCCAGAGTCATGACCAATACTGGTGAGTCATACTCCCCATACAGAGCTCCCTACACACTGCCTGTCAGAAAAAAAAAAAAAAAAAAAAAAAGCAAAACAGAAGTTGCCATCTCATCCTTTGCTCTAGTTGCCTCATTTTACCTTCTGAAATGATGGAGGAAGTTCTGCTGAGGATGGGGTCAGGGTAACAGCAGACTTCTGAATAACTCTGCACCCCCAGAAACCTGCAAAGGACACAGGCCCTCTTGGTGGTCTCCTCCTGGATGCCTTGCTTTCTCCTGGAAGAGTCCTCCCTTCCACCCCGGATATCACTGTGAACCTGTAAGTGGCAGTACCTTCTTTCTAGTAGGCAATGTCTACTGTGCCATCCTAGGCAGGTATAATACATAAAATAACCTGTCACCTGGGACCATTAGCTTCTTTAACAAAGGACAAATTTCATTCCATACTGGAGAGAAAGGTTTTAAAATACAAGTGTCCTGGAGAGAGGAAACATGTTGACTTAAAGTCACACAAACGTGCAAAGACCTGACAGCAGTCCTTTCTGGGGCAGAAAGAAAGCAGAGAGCTCAGGGGGATAGAACCCTCGAACACGGACTATTGGGTACTTCAGATCCAACCTGTGGACTCTCATTCAGGTTGGGGGTTATTAATTTTTTTTTTTTTTGAGACGGAGTCTGGCTCCGTGATCTCAGCTCACTGCAAGCTCCGCCTCCCGGGTTCATGCCATTCTCCTGCCTCAGCCTCCCGAGTAGCTGGGACTACAGGCACCCGTCAACATGCCTGTCTAATTTTTTTGTATTTTTTAGTACAGATGGGGTTTCACTGTGTTAGCCAGGATGGTCTTGATCTCCTGACCTCGTGATCTGCCCGCCTCGGTCTCCCAAAGTGCTGCGATTACAGGCGTGAGCCACTGTGCCCAGGCCTATTGGGGGTTATGCAGGTTCCTTTGCTTGGCCATGGTAGATGGCTAAGTCTTTGCTTCCAAGTTCTTTTGACCATGAGACATGTAGAGCCAGGGAGGAAAGAGAAAATCCAAACCAGGTCACTGTTACCTGTGAATAACATCTTGATCGAGTTCTGAGAAGAGGAGTGATGATACTAAAGGTTAAGTGGAGGTTTTCACTCCTCTTCAGATTTTGACTTTTATAACTTTGCCATTCCTTTACTGTAGAGAACTGAGAAAGAATAGTATATGGGCATGTGAGGAGATTCCAGCTGCATAAGCAGATCATGAATGTTTCCAGTGCCAAGTCCTCAGCCAAGAGTGCCCCAGGAGTTTCATTCCTACTAACCAACCTGGGTAACACAGGCATAAGAACAGAGAGAGAAGTGGTGCTTTTAAAAATAGATCTGACTTAGTAGTCTTTAAATAACTAAGGATTATGATATGGGAGAGGGCTACTTTGCATCTCCATCTCTGCTGAGAGAAGAACTTGAAAAAATGGGCATGAAACTAAAGGGATTTGTGCTTGCTGAGTAAGAGCTTCTACAAGGTAAGAAAGCTGTTGAAGAAGAGAATTTGCTTCTCTGTATCAGGATGGACATTCACTTGACTGTGATGGTCACTGAAATGTAGCCTACCTTGACATAGAGTAAATTCTTGCTCTTCAAAGTGTGGTCCCCAGATCAGCAGCAGCAGCATCACCTGGGAGCTTGTTAAAGACGCTGAGGCCCCACCCTGACCTCCTGAATAAGAATCTCCTCTCAGCCGGGCGCAGTGGCTCACACCTGTAATCCCAGCACTTTTGGAGGCCGAGGCGGGCAGATCATGAGGTCAGGAGATCAAGACCATCCTGGCTAACATGGTGAAACCCCATCTCTACTAAAAAATACAAAAAAAAAATAGCTGGGCGTGGTGGCAGGCACCTGTAGTCCCAGCTACTCAGGAGGCTGAGGCAGGAGAATGGTGTGAACCCAGGAGGTGGAGCTTGCAGTGAGCCAAGATCATGCCACTGCAGTCCAGCCTGGGTGACAGAGCGAGACTCCATCTCAAAAAAAAAATCTCCTCCCTAACAAAGTTCCCAGGTAAAATGCTTGAACCTTATGGACTAAGAAGCGCTGGGCTAAATGACCTTTGCAGATTCCTCCTGTGATGGTTAATATTGAGTGCCAACTTGATTGGATTGAAGGATGCAAAGTGTTGTTCCTGGGTGTGTCTGTGAGGGTGTTGCCAAAGGAGATTAACATTTGAGTCAGTGGACTGGGAAAGGCAGACCCACCCTCAGTCTGGGTTGGCACAGTCTAATCAGCTGCCAGTGCGGCCAGAATAAAAGCAGGCAGAAGAACGTGAAAAGACTAGACTGGTTTAGCCTCCCAGCCTACATCTTCCTCCCATGCTGGTTGCTTCCTGCCCTCAAATATCAGACTCCAGGTTATTCAGCTTGGGGACTCAGACTTGCTCCTTGCTCCTCAGCTTGCAGCCAGCCTATTATGGGACCTCATCTTGTGATCGTGTGAGTCAATCCTCTTAATAAATTCCCCTTTATATATAAATCCATCCTATTAGTTCTGTCCCTCTAGAGAACCCTGACTAATACACTTCCTACTTGAGGATTTCATGAGCTGCCACTAGTTGAGAAGTGGTGCAGCCCCTCTGGGGAGGGAGGCCCGGCTGCTAAGGAAGTGGGAGGCACACTGGTATTCTCCTCCCAAGCCACAGCTCTCCACATGCCTTCTGTACAGGGGAGAAAGTACACCTTTCTCCTCATCCTCAAGGGTACCGTAGCTTTAGGTCCTCTGAACACACGAGACCTTCTGTAGCAAATACCTGGGAGCCCAGACAGCTTGTAGAGATTATCTGTGCCTCCCTCAGAACCATGGAGGACTCCCAGAGCAAGGAGGGAGGCAGGCAGTCCAGTGGTCTCTGCAGATCCTAGCTCTCCTCTCACTTGTAAAAGCTATCTGCATGCCTCCCTGGGGGCCACAGGTGACAGGGAGTGCCCAATTTCTGATCTGTTGAAGAATCATAAACCAACTAATATATTTTTTTCCGAAGGTTTTTAAAAACTCATTTTTGCATAAATTATTCATAAATACCAATGAGAAAAAGAACACCCAAAACTAATATAGAGAGTGAGGGGTCTCAAGACACAGTCAACAACCCTTTTGACTAAGAGGATCTAGTTCACAGACACACACACAGAGAGTGTGTTCACCCAGCTGCTGATATTAACTACTACTGCCTTAGTCAACTCTGGCTGCTGTAACACAATACCATAGACTGGGTGGCTCAAACAACGGATGTCAATTTTCTCACAGTTCTGGAGGTGTCTTACAGTCCAAGATCAAAGTACCAGCAGATGTGATTCTTGGTGAGGGCTCTCTTCCTGGCTTGCAGATGGCTGCCTTCTTGCTATGTCCTTGCATGGACTTTCCTTGGTGTGTACCCATGGAGAGAGAGCAAGAAAGAAAGCTCTAGTCTGTCTGTCTTCCTGTTCTTATAAGGGCACTAATCCAATCATGGGGCTCTGCCCTCAGGACCTCATCTATTAATAGTACCACCAGGTTGGGGATTAGGACTTGAACTTATGAACTTTGGAGGGACACAAACATTCATTCCATAACAACTACCAAAGTAGTAGACTTCAGAGCGATTGTTTTCTAATCCATATTTTTCCCCTCAAATCATATGTTCTTGGCTAATACTAATATTGAGTGCCCTAAGACTACATGTTAGAGAAATAGAAAATTTTAGATTATCCATCTTCATAATAACTAGTAGTGCTGTAGAAATGCAGTTCATCAGTCTCTAGGGTCTCTCTATTCTACCATTTCAGGTGGGCTGTGGTCCTATGGTCAAGTCAAAGAGAAGCTGCACTGAATATTTATTCACAGTAAGGACAGCAGTTGAGATCAGAGGCTCTAGAGTTAGAATGACCTGGGTTCAAATGTGACTCTATGACTTCCTACCTGTGACCTTTCCAAACTTTGATTTCCCCATCTATAAAATGGAGGGAATGACAGTACCTTCTATCATTATATATTATTATGTAGTTATGAGGGTTAAGTAATACATGAAAAGCCCTGCCACAGGGTAGAGACTAGATACACAGTGGCTATTACTATTGTTGCAGTTGGTATCATCAGATGTGATACTTATGTTTTCCTAGCTCATATGTGCTCTTTCTACTATCATGCCGAGATCTCCAAGGAGCAGGGATTAAGCTTCCCTCAACAGAATTCCTCTTGTCTTCTTGAGGTTACAAAAGGTCTCCTGCTTCAAGTAACTCAGGGAGCTGCCAATGTAAGGCTCTGCCCTTGTGGGGCATAAGAACTGTTGTGGCCACTTGCCTGTCTACTGGCGCAAAAACTCCTCCAGAGTCCTGGGCATCCAGTAAAACTTGCAGCACAAGTTAGGCCTTTTTTTTTTTTTTAGAGAAGCCAAGAGTCCTCCTCCACCTCCCCAAGCCTCACCGCCCCACTCTATTGAGCAGTGATCTTCATTCACACCTTGACTACCCACTGCCCATTTCCCCTTACATGACTCTTCACCCCTGAGTACATATATGTCATGTACTGGCCTTCAAGAGTGATCTTTCATTTCAGCTTTCATTTCTTCCAGGATTCCCCAGGATCAACCATCTGAGCAGATACCTTGGAATGTCCCCAGATTTCAGAGGTAAGTCACTAGTACTGTCCCACAGTAGTAGACATCATTTCTGCCCTGCCCCTGTGGTCCTAACCATATGCAGTGACATCAAAATCTGGTGTCATATCTCATGGAAGACCCATACCCCCAAAGCCCTTCATCCCATTCCCTTTATCCAGTGCTCATAAACCATGTGAATGACCTGGCCTGCCAGGTAAAGGCCTTGAGCCCTGCTCCTTTTTCAGCCACTCCCAATCAATCTGCCATCATCTCTTCCAGGAAGCTTCCTGCCTTCTCTCCCAAGCCAAGCTGGATTAGGGACCCCTACATTGAGCTCACCCTGTACTTATCTCTATCGTTAACCACTGTACTGGAATGATCTGTGCCTCCATCTGCCTCCCACGCTAAACTGAGTTCCAGGAGGGCTGGGGCCATGTGTTATTCATCTCTGCATCTCCAGCATTTAGACTGTGACTAATATATAGTAAGCAGGCAGTACATGTTGAAAGAAATAAATAAAGGTGGGGAGAGGAAGGGAGGAGGGAAAAGAAAGAAAGCAAGGAAGAAAAAAAGAAGAGGGCGGGCGCAGTGGCTCACGCCTGTAATCCCAGCACTTTGGGAGGCCGAGATAGGTGGATCACAAGGTCAGGAGATCGAGACCATCCTGGCTAAGGCAGTGAAACCCTGTCTCTACTAAAAATACAAAAAAATAGCTGGACATGGTGGCGGGCGCCTGTAGTCCCAGCCAGTTGGGAGGCTGAGGCAGGAGAATGCCGTGAACCTGGGAGGCAGAGCTTGCAGTGAGCTGAGATTGCACCACTGCACTCCAGCCTGGGCGGCAGAGAGAGACTCCGTTTCAAAAAAAAAAAAAAGAAGAAGAAGAAAGGGAAAAGGAGGAAGGTAAGGAAAGAATGAAAGTCATAAGAAGAAGGAAATAATGAGAATAGGCTGGATCGAATTCTGTAGAATAATTCCCAATGTCCCTGAACAGTGACGCTAAAGCCCATCCTTCTCTATATTTAATCTTCCAACATCTTCTTCTCTGTTACTAGTATAAAAACAGAATAAGTTTATATGGGCCCATTAAAATCATTGTCTAAATAATCATGATGATTCCTGGAGCCCTAGGTCATCAGAAACCCCTATAAAGTCCTCTCTAATGACAGCAGGACATAAAACCATCACCAAACACAAACACTGAACCCTTTCCTCGTCACAAATACACACTCCACTCAGCGGCCAAGGTCAGTCACTTCTTGTGTACATGAACCCTCCCCGGTCCGCCCCTGCTGACAAACATTTCCACACACATCCAAGGAGAATGAGAGAGGGACCAAAAAGCTCTTAGGAATTCAGTGGCATAATCACCTTACAGGTATCACCACAAATGGAGAGGGGCAGGAACCCAGAAAGGCAAAAGGCAAAACAAAACAGCTAGATAATCAAGAAAGTATCCACATGTTTACACACACACACCTACTCAACAGTTTAACTTCCCTAATAATGTTTTGCTCCGATTAATAATTAAATGGCCTGTGTACTTTGAATAGACGCCAACTACTTCTCAGCAAGGAGAAGTGGTAGAGAACATATCAACGAGGTCAGCCCGGAATGAAAATGAGCCAGTCCACCATGAAGATAATCAAGAGCTTCTTGCATTCATTCCCTGTATCTGCTCAAAATTTTTAATTCAAATTTGCTTAACTCAAAATTTTGTTTAAGTCAAAATTTTAGGGATTAGAGATGAGGTGTGGAGAAAGTTCACTTTAACAACTTTGTTCTATTCCAGCCAATTCAGTCATTGTTCTCTCCACACAGAATAGAAGCAATAGTTTGATCCTGAAGCCTGAGCTAAACTCTGTTGGTTGTGTTTGGAGGACAGCTCCCCTTGGCTTTGTGGGCTAACCCCCATGTGTCCTCTCTCTCCCTTCAGCAGATGCTCCCTTACGGATACCACGCCATCCCTCTGAACACAGTATATATTCCTCATGATTCATTGTGGTCAGGAATTTAATTACTGACCACAAATTTTGTGGGAATTATCTCCCAGGGAATTGGGAAAATGAGTGTGATTGTAGGAAAAGATAATCTATTACAGATTATTTTTAAAATAATGTCAAATGTTAATCTTGTATATGGGAAGAGAGGGAAAGACTAAGTTAAAGATAGCAGAAGGTCTGAGGGATCCCAACTAGTGCTCAGGTAAGGAGGATGGGAAAGAGGGAAAGGAGAATGCGAAGGAAGAAGGCATATTTGGACAAAAGGCACATGCCACATGGAATCGTTTTCCCCCAATCAAAGGAGTGTGGGTGCTTCCCAGGAGGGCACAGTGTCACTCTCCAGGTACCCACCTGGCATGGAGGCAGGGGGGCCTGCCCGTGCCTGCCTCTTTCCCACTCTCCTTTTTCTTCCTTCTTCCTCCCTGCCTCCTTTCCTTCCATCCACTTTTACTGACCACCTGTGTGTTAGGTGCTGTGGAGGTGGTGGGAATATAAAAACAACAGAAGAGTCTCTAATGTCCAGTCATTAAGCAGTAGCTAGTAACCAACAAGTTCAGCAAAGCAAGCTATGCAACCATATCACAGGGCTTGTGCTAATAAATGTGGCGGGGCCCAGTGTGCCTCAGTGGAGGCAGCAGCCATTTCCACCTGGCAGCCAATAGTTGATTTCAGCAACAATATTGTTCTCAAAATTTCCCCACACCTACCGCTCTAGAATAAAAGAAAATAGAGACATGACAACCAAATGCAATGTAAGAGTTTTGATTGGATCTTGTTTGAAAAAAAAACATCCAAAGTCCATTGACTTTGGAGAATCAGAAGAGGGAGGATGAGAGAGGGGTATGGGATAAAAAACTACATATTGGGTACAATGTACACTACTTGGGTGATGGGTGCATGAAAATGTCAGACGTCACCACTCTGCGGTTCATCCACGTAACCAAAAACATTTGTACCCCAAAAGCTACTGAAATTTTTTAAAACACACACACACACAAACATCTGTTAGAAGACATATTGGGAAACATTTTGGAAAATGTTATATGATTTGGGAATTGGGAACCAGGGGATATTAGGTAATTATCATTAATTTTCTTAAGTGTAAAAAAGGTTACTGTGAGTATGTCAGAGGATGTCCTTATTTTAAAGAGATGTGTGCTGAAGTATTTAGGGATGATGTCTGTATCTTACATTGAAATAGTTTAGGAAAAAACATATATTTGGTAAAATGTATACAACTGTAGAATCTAGAAGAGGGATTTCAGTGTCAACTGTACTATTATTTCACCTTTTCTATGCATTTGAAATTTTTTATAATAAAAAATTTGAATAAAAAATTATCTCCACTTGCTAGCTGTAGGCCTTTAGTAGAATAAAGCCTTCTGTGTGTCAATTAGCTAACAAATAATCATAACTAACATTTGTCATGTGACAGGCAATGCTGAGAGCTGGCATGCAATAATTTCAGTATGAGCTTTTCTTTACAGAGAGGAAAACCGAGGCTTGGCAAGGTTAAGTTCTTATCCCAAGGCACGCAGATAGTAACTGTCAGGGCCAGATCCCAGCCTGGCTTTGATCTGGTTCTAAACTACCCACTCTTAACTGCCAACTTCTACTGACAGCCTTCTAGAAAAAACCCTGACATTCAATGTCTGGGTGAAGTAATAGTAACAGGAATCATTGCCATGAAGGGCAGTCTGTCAACTTGGGCGTGCAAACAACCATCCTAAGAGCCTTTCTTGCTCTGATAGGGAGAAAAAAAGGCTTCGGGGGCTACCAGAGGAGAAGAGGCCATCAGTGAGTGAGGAAAGGGCATGGAGAGAGGAAGTGGGGAAGGGAAACGGCCTCACCTTATGGACCTGCAGTTCTGTGGGACGAATTAAAGCTGTAAAGCAGGTATTTTTGACTGGAGCAGCAGACAAATGTTTCTGCTTAGTAGAAAAGTTACTGCAGTCAATGCTGTTCCACATCACTAATGAAGGCTGAAAAAAACCACAGCTGAAAGGTATAATGGTGCTTTCTTCTAGAGGGTTGCTTAAGCAAGGTCTCATTGTGCCTGAAGTCTGTATTATTTACTGGCCATTCAGGATGTGCAATGCGATTTAAGAGAGCGGTGCTGGGCTGCATTGAGCCAGCTATACCCTCTTACTCAGTCCCCTGTACAACAGGGCCAGAGAGAGTGGAGGGCAGGATGTGCCCAGCCAATTGGCCTCTATAGGAATTTCAACCATGACCTCGACCTTATTTGCTCTCTGCTCCAGTCTCCTGACTAACCAACCATTGCATGGCAGAGCCTGAGTTCCACAGCCAGCCTGGCGGAGCCACCATGTAATAGTCCAGGGTCAAGCTGTATTTTGCTTTTGGTGTATAAAATGCAAGAACTGGAGAAATCATGTAAAAAGTCAGGAGGAGGTAAACATTTCAAGCACCAGCCTCCCCGGAATTCGGCATTAGAACAAAAGCCACTTCCTTCAGTGCCCTTTTCTTACAGAGCAGCTTTTCCTGTGAGGAGAGAGTTACGTCATTAACACCTTGGTTAGTGGGGTGTTCTGAGTTGTCGGGATTAACCATCTAGGCAGTGGGGTGAAGGGTCCCGTTATGCAGAATGTGGGGACTGCCCCTGAGATGTTTTTGTTTTTAAAACACAATTGTGCCAGCTGATCTCAGTACACATTTCTAGAAAAATCACAGCCTATGACATCACAGACCTTCCTTTCAGCCTCGGACCAGCAGCAACACACTCTGAAGTAGGTCTCAGAAGACAAAAAGCTGAAATCAACTCATGCTTCCTGCTACACAGAATCCACTGAGAGGAAAAGGAAACTTCACCGAAACTTCAGAAAGCTACAGAAATGACATCCATTTTCACAATCCCAGAAGGAAAGATGCATCTGAAGGGAATAAAAACAGAGCAATGGAAGAGTATTTGTTAAAATAAATGGCTTTGACAGGGCATTTTCTCTAAAGGTCTCCTTTGCCTCAAATAGTACTCCTGCCTTCAGTCCATCTTGCATGCCACCCAGCTGTGGGCATCCTGGCAGTTGCTGCCATGTCCTTGCCTAAAAGCCTCCACCCCCAACCAACCCACCCACCCCACAACTGGTCTCCCTTTCTCTGGCTTCTTGGAGCAATAAGACCCCCTTCTCCCAGTGGGGGATCTTTCTGAAAGGTAAACATGAACCCACTCCTCTCCTGCTCAAAAATAGTGGCCGGCTCTCGATCTCCCCAAAGATAGAAATGCACACTTTGGCCGGATGTGGAGGTTCATGCCTGTAATCCTAGCACTTTGGGAGGCCAAGGCGGGTGGATCACCTGAAGTCAGGAGTTGAAGACCAGCCTGGCCAACATGGTGAAACCCTGTGCCTACTAAAAGTACAAAAATTAGCCAGGCATGGTGGCACACACTTGTAATCCCAGCTACTTGGGAGGCTGAGGCAGGAGAATTGCTTGGACCTGGGTGGCGGAGGTTGCAGTGAGCTGAGATCGTGCCATTGCACTCCAGCCTGGGTGACAGAGAGAGACTCTGTCTCAAAAAAAAAAAAAAAAAAAAGAAAGAAAGAAAAATAAAAAGAAATGCACACTTTATTTGGCACCCGGGCCCTAATGACCTTTCTCCTGCCCGGTTTTCCCAGACTGTCTGCTACCACACGGTGTGTGCAGCCTTTCTCCCAATCACACGGACTCCTCTGAATGCATGCCTGTCTTTCTTGTGTGGCGTCTGCCTGTGCCTTTGCACTCACTGTCCGCTTGTCTAAAATGCTCTTCCTCCAAATCCACAGAGAAAACATAACCCAAATGCCACCTCCTCAGTGAAGCCCCTCCAGAAGTTTCTTTCTTTCTCTCTCTCTGTCTCTCTCTCTCTCTGCGTGTCTCTCTCTCTCCACACACACCCTGCTCACCTCCCCAGCCACACAGGTATCACTCCTCTTTTCAGGGCTCTGCTCTGTTCTCTGTTCACAGATCTGCCACCCACACTAGTCTGTGAGCACTCTCTTGGGGACAGAGCCCATGAAGTGCTCATCTTTGTGTTCCCAGTTCTTAGCCCAGTGCCTGGCACCCAGTAGGTGCTTCATAATCTAAGTCCCCCAACCAGCAAGGCCAAATTCTGCTTTTTCCAAGTCATCCTCAACACTCCATAGGAAAGAGTTCTGCTACCACAGAACAATGTATTCTATATTGCCTATAAATTATTACATTTCTCTCTTCCTGGAGATATATATATAGATACACACACACACACACACACACACACACACACACACACACATATGTATATATGGATATATAGGCACCCGGCCTATACAACCTAAATCTTAACAGAAACTCTTGGCTTCTGTATGAGGGACAAATGGAGTCAGTCTTTAGGCTAACATTTTTTCTATAAACTAAGATTTTAAAACAATTGATGTTGATATCTTAAAGGGTCAGTCAACAAATTAATTAATCAAAATTATCTCCTAAACAACAGCCAAGGGCTAATGGAAGGGTGGGAGAGAATTAAAAAATGTGACTTCCCTAAGGCATATTATAGTTTAATAGGACAAAATTTTAAAAATTCGATAATTTAAAAAATTTTTTAGAGACAGGGTTTTGTTCTGTCACCCAGGCTGGAGTGCAGTGGCATGATCACAGTTCACTACAGCCTCAAGCTCCTGGGCTCACACGATCCTCCCACCTTAGCCTCCCAGTATCTGAGACTACAGGTGCATTGCACTGCACCCAGCTAATTTTTAAGAATTTTTTTGTAGAGGCAGGTGTCGCTATGTTACCCAAGCGGGTCTTCAACTCCTGGGCTTAAGTGATCCTCTTGCCTTGGCCTCCCAAAGTGTTAGGAATATAGGTAAGAGCCACTGTGCCCAGCCTACATCCTAAAATACACTATACACACACACACACACACACACACACACACACACACTGCACTCCAGCCCAGGTGACAGTGTGAGACTCCGTCTCAAGAAAAAAAAAAAAAAGATTTAGGTTGTATATTCAGAAGTTGCAGGAATGCAGTGGCCTAATAGGATAAAACGTCCTGGCACTGTGACCTGGCCTCCTTCCCCATTGTCTGTCCTCTTGCTTGGCCTCTTCTCAGGGTGGGCTCTGCTCTCCCTCCCCAGGGCCAAAGGATTCAGAGGCAACCCAAGATTTACGCATCGAATTCCTCACCAATTTTCTTGCCATCACCCTTGTGGGGTCTGGCTCTCTGCTGTTGCAGTAATATTTTTATTTATTTATTTTATTTATTTATTTATTTATTTTTGAGACGGAGTCTCACTCTGTCACTCAGGCTGGAGTGCAATGGCGTGATCTTGTCTCACTGCAACCTCTGCCACCCATGTTCAAGCGATTCTCCTGCCTCAGCCTCCTAAGTAGCTGGGATTACAGGTGCCCGCCACCACTCCCGGCTAATTTTTGTATTCTTAGCAGAGACAGGGATTCACCATGTTGACCAGCCTGTTGCAGTAATATTAATACTTCATCAACAGGACCTGCCACTCTCTAACCTGCCATCATTCAGTGGCTATAAAGGAGAAAATTAATATACATTGCTTCTTCCAAAGTGACCCTGGAGAAACTTTTTTCCCCCCAATTGTCACTACTTCAGAAATTCTAAAATGAGATTGGGGAAGTTGAAGGATATGTGAAAAGTTCTCCCTTGGCTTCCACCTGCCATTTGTTATCACCAGCTATCTGAAGAGTCCAGTTGCCTGGAGGCCTTCAGCTAGGATGATGGTATTCTTTTTTTTTTCTTTTTTCTTTTTTTTTTTTTTTGAGACAGAATCTCGCTCTTTCGCCCAGGCTGGAGTGCAGTGGTGTGATCTTGGCTCACTGCAACCTCCACTTCCCAGGTTCAAGCGATTCTCCTGCCTCAGCCTCCTGAGTAGCTGGGATCACAGGTGCATGCTACCACACCCGGCTAATTTTTTTGTATTTTTAGTAGAGATAGGGTTTCACCATGTTGGTCAGGCTGGTCTCAAACTCCTGACCTTGTGATCTGCCCGCCTCGGCCTCCCAAAGTGCTGGGATTACAGGCATGAGCCACCATGCCTGGCCTGGGATGGTGATATTCTAGGCAGTGTCTCCAGGCTGCCAAGTAAAGCAGTTTCAGAATGGCCTCAGGGTTGATGTCAGCCAAAGGAAAGCAGCTGGTGTCTTTATCCATGACCCTCCTTCCATCTCCATGACTCTGCATTATCCTCCCATGGCCATCCTGCCACAAACTCCCCCTCAAAGGCCTTAGCAGAGGGCCAAGAATTTGTTAGTTGAGGGAAAAAACTTGTTTCAATGTCAAACTGACATTCCTAAGGGCTCCTGCAGCCTCCCCTACCGGAATCCTTCAGATCCTGGGCTTGAATGTTGGTGAGATGGGAATCTAAGTCTGTGCAGCTGTGCAGTCAAGGAGTGGCCAGGTGTTAAGGACATGAGGACAGGGTCAGAGACTAGTTACTGGAGAGATGGACACACATGGGCCCAGGACAGCCTGAGAAGGCCATAAAAAGTCCTGGCATTGTGCCCCAGCCACCTTCTCCATTGTCTTTCTTAACGACACGATCACTGTTAACCAATGGTGGCCCAAACCAAATTCAAGGTCCTGAGAACCCCTTCAAAGAAGGGGAGGAGCGAAGCAGGTAACAGCATCTCAGGGGTTTCAACAGCAGGGATTAGAAGTCAGACTGGGAGTGTCTGAGTTTTGGGGCAGGAAATAAAATACTGAATCTTAGATGGGAAATGCTGAATTATTAGGCAGGTGTTTGGTCAAAGCAGAATATCATAAAGCAGACTGGGAACAAGGACTCAGGATACTGAAGTCAAATCATGCTTACTAGCTGCAGAACTACCTCGTTGATGGGCTACTGGCTGAGAGTATCTCCTTCCTCCTACCTGGAACAAGGTCTGCTCCTAGACCTAGAGGCACAACTGACTTTGCAGGTGGAGCCCTCCCTATGCTAGAGGTCAGCACCTTAAGGAACAGAACCATGCCTGGCTCACTCTCTACTCAGTGAGTGCCTGATACATGGTAGGCACTTGATGAACACTTACTGAGTGAATGACCATTGTGTATGTTTTTGGGGAGCTGGATCAGGATGTAGGCACAGCCTCTCTCCCCTAGAAAAGCAGAGTCAGTTCATCCTGAAGGTTTCACCATTACCAGATATCTGCCTGGACCTGTACAGCTCTAGCCTCTGGATTTATCTTGTTTTAACAAACACATCGTGCTTGCCATGTGCAGCAAATATAAACCAATTTAATATTCAACAATCCTTTGAGGTAGGTATCTTTATTTTATTTATTATTTATTTATTTATTTATTTATTTATTTTTTCAAGACAGAGTTTCGCTCTGTTGCCCAGGCTAGAGTGCAGTGGTGCGATCTCCACTCACTGCAAGCTCCGCCTTCCAGGTTCATGCCATTCTCCTGCCTCAGCCTCCCGAGTAGCTGGGACTACAGGTGCCTGCCACCGCGCCTGGCTAATTTTTTGTATTTTTAGTAGAGATGGGGTTTCACCGTGTTAGCCAGGATGGTCTCGATCTCCCGACCTCGTGATCCACCCGCCTCGGCCTCCCAAAGTGCTGGGATTACAGGCGTGAGCCACCACGCCCGGCCTGAGGTAGGTATCTTTATTAACCCCATTTAATAGATGAGAAAACAGGCACAGAGAGGTCAAGTAACTGACCAAGGTTACACAGTGATAGAGCCTGGCTATGACCCCAGGCATTCTGGCTCTAGAGCCTATACTCACAGAGACAAGCATAAAGGCCAGAGGGTCCAAACCCACCACTATCCATGGTTTAGAATTCAATTATGCAGCGTGGATCTCTATGACCTCTAAAAGCCATTCACCATCCCTAGACATCCTGACAAGTCTGAGATGCTGGTGGTGACTAGAGATATGGAAACAATTCCCACTGCCTTTGCTTGTCTCTGAAATGCAAACGAGACATGTGTTGGTAGAGTATTATCTTGTAGGACAACTCCCTGGGGCCTCCTAGACTCGGCCACCCATTGCACAGGGCCAGTTTCACAAAGGCAGGCATGTAACCTGTGGAGTCACACAGGTCTCTGTGCTTTGAAGGGCCCTGTGCTTGGTTCGATGCACCGCTATTGCCATCTTGAAATTCCTAATAATTTTTGAACAAGGGCTCTGAGACTTTTATCTTGCACTGGGCCCTGTAAATTAGGTCCTGCCTATGCTTGTATGTTGTCCATTAGATTCATCGTGATTTCCTTTCTGTTGCCCTCCCTCTCTTGCCCACAGGAATCAGCCTCTTATAATCTCTGTAAATTCTTGACATTCTTAGGTGTTAGGAGAGCATGCAGGTCAACTCCAGTTCTTAAGAGTCTCTTATTCTAATCTGTTTCTTCTGAAGCTGATTAGGAATTTTTTTTCATAAGATCTTAGGCATCTGATACTCACACCATCCCTCCCACCCTCTCACTGTGTTGACTTCATTCCTCCTGCTTCTGATCTTTCAGCTCCCTGCCAATCCAGGAGCGAGATAAAGACTGCGAGGGCTGAGGCTGGTTGTTGGTAAAGAAAGCCCCAGCTGAAAGAGAACGTCCAAAGTCTAGATTTAAAGAGATTTAAGAGATATTAAATTAATGTGAGGATCTTGTTTAGATTCTGATTCAAAGAAACCAACTGTAAAAAGACATTTTTTTAGACAATCAAGAAATTTTGAATATGAACTGGGTGTTAAAGAATGTTGACAAATTATGCTTTATTTTGTTGGGTATGAAAAGGTGTTGTGGTTACATAAGAAAATGCCCTTATTTCTTTTAGATATCTGTATTGAAGTATTTCGGAGTGTTATAACATGGTATCTAGGATTTGCTCTAAAATGCTTCAGGAGAAAAAAAAACTTAGGGTTGGGAGGGAGAGACATGGAACAAATGTGACAAAGTATTGATGTTTTTTGAAGTTGGTGATGGAATTTCTTAAACTCTTTTCTTTGTGTAGGTTTGGAAGTTTTCATAATAAATAGTTAAAAGCAAAAGAGCAGAGGAGTGACAGACAGAGCATCCAAACCACAATGTTTCCAGAAGAGTAGAAGCAGATGTTTACCGTTGTTCTGTTTCAGTGGCTCAGAGGAATCTCTCTGGTCTCTAAATGAGCTGTTTTTTGCATGTGTGGATGACACAACTTTGCAGTTTCCTCTGAAACATAACCTCCTGGAGCTGTTTCAATAACAGTAGGACTGGCTCCACTGAACCGTCTCCCCTTACTCTCCTGCCTACTTTCTCTTATGATAAAGAGCTTATGAGGATATGAGTAGAATAGGAACTACAGAGGAGCAAACTCATGACCTTAATATATTAGCCTCCTTACAAACTGCCTCTAAGTCCTGCTCCTCCTCTAAATCCTTGCCTCGAAATCTTGCTCCTCCTCTGGACCTCACTCAAATGCTACCCTCTATGACCTTCTGTGACCACCTGATCTATCCTGATCCCTTCTTCCCAATCTCCATGGCATTTGCAGCCCAGCATCTGGTATTTCACCCTCTATTTGGTTCTGAGTTGTTCTCAATCATTTTGTACAACTCAGTCTTCACTCCCCACCAGGTTGCAGTTTTCCATATCTGCTACTCCAACCTGTTTTTAAACAGGCCTATTCCATGCTGAGCACATTGCAGGCCATTCATTCATAGGTTCATCCATTTATTCCTCCAATTCTGAGCACTTACTCCATGCTAGACATTGTATTAGATGCTGGCAATTCAGCAGTGAACAAGATAGACCCAGTCTCTGCCCTGGAGCTCCTTTGGTTGAGGTTGAAAGAGAGAGAGACTGATATTAAACAAATAATTGTACAACAAAGTAATTCATGACAGTGGTGGTACGTGCTGTAAATACAGCATCTGTGGTGCCCTGAGTGTGTAGAACAGGAGACCTGGCCTGGTCTGAAGAGTCAGGAAAGGCTCCCTAAGGAAGTGACTTTAGGAAGGGACTTAAAGGAAATATAATAATTAGCCTGGCACGGAGAGGGGAGGAGCATTCCAGGCAGAGCAAACAGCACGGGAAAGGCTCCTGGGGGAAGTAGCCTGGCATGCCACAAGAAGTTAAGTTTTACGGCATGCAGAGACCATAGTTGAAAATGAGCATACTTTTTGAATTGAGATGAATTTTGAGATTTCTAAGCACACTAGAAGCTGGATTCTTATTATCAGCTAAGTTAGGTTGTTACAGTAATACCCTCCAATTTATCTTGTCTCTCTGCATGCATGCTCCTTTGCAATGTGATTTTGCCCCGCTTCTCAAAAAGCAGTAGAGTCTGTTTCTCTACCTGCTGAATTTGGGCTTGGCTATATGACCTTCTTTGGCCAACGGGATGATAGCAAATGTCATGCAAGCAGAGGCTCTTGCTTGTGGGAACCCTTCTGGCACCATGTCAACAAGCTGTTCCTGGTAGCACTACACGGAAAGAAGCTCCAGCCCTACCCACAGTCCTGGGATTCCACATGAGGCCAGACATATGAGTGGGGCCCTCCTAGACCATCCAGCCCCAACCAAACAAGTTCAGACCAGAAGAATCACCCAACTAGCCACAGAATCAACTAGAATAAACATGTGTTATTGTTATAAACTGAATGCTCTAGGCTTTCCAAAATTCATATATTGAAATCCTACCCCCTAATGTGACAATAGTAGGAGATGTGATATTTGGGAGGTAATTAGGATTAGATGAGGTCTTGAGGGTGAAGCCCTCATGAATGGGATTAGTGTCTCCATAAAATATGCCCAAGGGAGTTCATTCCTCCCTTCTACAAGGTAAGGACACAACTAGAAGGCACCGTCTATGAACCAGAAACCCCTCACCAGACACCAAATCTGCTGGTGCCTGATCATGCACTTCCTAGCTTCCAGAACTGTGAGAAATACATTGTTGTTTAAGCCACCCAGTTTATGATTTTTCATTATAGCAGCCCAAGCTCACTAAGACAGTTTTTTTTTTTTTATTCAGATGGAGTCTCGCTCTGTTGCCCAGGCTGGAGTGCAATGGCATGATCTCAGCTCACTGCAAGCTCCGCCTCCTGGGTTCACGCCATTCTCCTGCCTCAGCCTCCCGAGTAGCTGGGACTACAGGCATCCACCACCACACCCGGCTAATTTTTTGTATTTTTTAGTAGAGACAGGGTTTCACTGTATTAGTCAGGATGGTCTTGATCTTCTGACCTCGTGATCCACCTGCCTCGGCCTCCCAAAGTGCTGGGATTACAGGCGTGAGCCATGCACCCAGTCCATTTTAGAGACTTACATAAACAAACTGTGGTACAGTCATGACAAAATACCATATTGCAATTAAACTGGATGAATTCAATATTTACATGTCAAATGGATATTCTCAAAAACATCAGGTGACTGTACATAAAACAAAATTATCTTCTCTATTTCTATGTGTCTATCCAACTAGTCCAAGTAAAAAACGTGGAGGCCAGGTGCGGCGGCTCACACCTCTAATCCCAGCACTTTGGGGGGCTGAGGCAGGCGGATCACGAGGTCAGGAGATCAAGACCATCCTAGCTAACACTGTGAAACCCCGTCTCTACTAAAAATACAAAAACAAAATTAGCCGGGCATGGTGGCCGTCACCTGTAGTCCCAGCTACTCGGCAGGCTGAGGCAGAAGAATGGTGTGAACCCGGGAGGTGGAGCTTGCAGTGAGCCGAGATCGTGCTGCTGCACTCCAGCCTGGGTGACAGAGCAAGACTCCATCTCATATAAATAAATAAATAAATAAGTAAGTAAATAAACATTAAAAAAAAACCATGGAGCAGATGGAAACTCACCCAGCTCATTGTATTAGTTTCCTATTGCTGCTGTAACAAATCAGCATAAATTTAATAGCTGGAAACAACACAGAAGTCTACAGTTGGTAAGCAGGGCTGTGTTCCTTCTGGAGGATCTAAAGGAGAATACTTGCCTTTTCCAGCTTCTAGAGGCTGCCTGCATTTCTTAGCTCTTGGATGCATCTTACCAGCCTCTGCTTCATCATCACCGACCTCATGCAACATTGTGTCATCTCTTTCTCTGCCTCTGACCTCCTGCCTCCCTCCAATAAATGCCCTTGTGATTATATTGGGTCCAGCTGGCTAACCCGAATAATCTCCCCCATCTCAAAATCCTTAATTACATCTGCAAAATCTCTTTTGCCATGGCAACATATTTACAGGCTCCAGGGGTTGGTAAGTGAACATCTTTTGGGTGGGGGAGTTGGGGGCAGGCATTAGTCAGTCATGGTAGCGTTTAACTGAAGAGAGAAGGAGGAAAATAGGATTAGAGTGATGAACTAAGAGAACTTCATCTGCCAGGTTTTCTTTACTTTAAAAAAACTTATCGGCTGGGTGCAATGGCTGGGTGCAATGGCTCACGCCTGTAATCCCAACACTTTTGGAGGCCGAGGCAGGCGGATCACCTGATGTCAGGAGTTCAAGACCAGCCTGATCAACATGGAGAAACCCCATCTCTACTAAAAATACAAAATTAGCCGGGCATGGCAGCATATGCCTGTAATCCCAGCCACTCGGGAGGCTGAGGCAGGAGAATCGCTTGAACCCGGGAGGCGGAAGTTGTGGTGAGCCGAGATTGCGCCACTGCACTCCAGCCTGGGCAACAAGAGTGAAACTCCATCTCAAACAAACAAACAAACAAAAACTTATCTTAACCAGGTATGGTGGTGTGGGCCTGTAATCCCTGCTGCTCGGGAGGGTGAGGAAGGAGAATCGCTTGTACCCGGGTGGCAGAGGTTGCAGTGAGCCAAGATCATGCCATGGCACTCAAGCCTGGGCGACAGAGCAAGACCCTGTCTCAAAAAAAATAATAAAAGAATAAAAAAGTTATCTGAGACAAATATGTCAAATTGTCATTTTATGATTATGGGTGGTGTTAGAAACAAACTGCCCCCAAAAGCTTCTTGGTACTGCCGACACTCCCCTTCAAACCTCTCCGTGCTGCCCACCTCTCCCGCTAATGCTCTGCAACTCTTCTCCTTCCCCCAAGTCACTTTACATTTCTAAGCCCTTATCTAGGCACCGCGGTGAAGCCAGCAGATTTCACTTACCAGACCTTGCTGTAATAAGCAAACTCCAATTACAAACCATCCAGACAGCAAAGGGGGAGGTTATGGGAAGCATAAACAAACTTTACCTACACCCTCCTGTAATAAACGTCACAAGGTGATATGTGGCAAAATTAACCAGCAAACAACCTTGGGATGTGGCCACACCAAAGAACTCCCTCAAACTCCCCTCCCCAATATAAACCCCTCATTCTGTAAGCTTGGGGCTGCTTCCTCTCTGACTGTTAAGTGGGCAGCCAGTAGGTTAATAAACTTCCTCACTTAACCTTGGGTCTCTTTCTTGTACTTTCTCTCCGCTAACCTTACAGGTGGTAGGTATGAGTTATATTATTCCCTGTACCATTCACTATCTTTTTTTTGTTGTTGTTTGTTTTTTTTCAGAATTCCAAAGAAGATAGAAATGGAGTTAGGAAGGAGATTTTTGCCCTCCTGGCTCTTGTCTTCCTTCTCCACTTCAAGGTATGTTGTGCTACTGTGTGAATCCACAGGGAGGAATCAGACTTTCTTTTTGATAAAGACAGAGCAAGACCTTTGTGTTTTAGATCTACAATGCCTTAGAGAGTAGCTAGATCAATGGTTATCAAATTGCCCGAGGAAGCCCCACCTGGGGCCACACTTCAAGAGGCTGCTGTGGCCAAAGATAAGGATTTCAAAGACTCCTCCTGCTCTTACTCCACTCCTTCCATGCTCACCTTCCTTCAATTAAAGCACTTGCCTTTACCTGTTTTTATGTTGAAGTGCCACATAAGATGTTGGCATTTGAAATGATGTTCTGTTGTTTAATATGTAATAGCTCCCCATGTAAAAAGGAGGGGAGGCAAGTCCTTTGAGCTAGATGCCTTGAAGGAAGAAGAGTCTGTACTGAGTCAGGTGCCCCAGTGTGGGAAGGAAGGAGATAAGTCATTACCAAGGGGACAAAGGAAAGCAGAGAAGAGAAATGGGTCTCCTTAGGGTCACCATTTCCCTTCAGAGCCCCTGTGAAGGAGGGTCATATACATAAACTATATACGATGTACATAGTTTAATATGCATGTACATACAAACATACGCACATACACTCAAAACCACTAATCCATTCCAACCTTCACCATTATGAGCCTGAGGAGCCTGGATTGAGACAGATAAAGTGACTTGCCTCATGTTGAGACTACATGAAAGGTGTTACTATCACTTAGTAAATCTCTTTTATTGGTGGGTCAGAGGCCAGGCTGTTGTAAACCCACAGAGGAAAGCCTTGCAATTTTCCAGTAACTGGAATTGTTTTATCTGAAAATATTTCCTGGAGTCATGGATTCTTAGGGCAGGGGTGTGGAACTGAGGAAGGAGGGGGTGTTTCTTGAGGAGGAAAGATCCTTTGTTCATCCTCCTGCCTCAATACGAATAAAGTAACTGCTGAAAAGAGGGCTATCAGGAAGGAGAGGATAACTCATAAATCTTTACATTTTAAAAAATAGCTTTAGAGGCCGGGCTCGGTGGCTCAGGCCTATAATCCCAGCACTTTGGGAAGCCGAGGTGGGCGGATCACCTGAGGTCAGGAATTCGAGACCAGCCTGGCCAACACGGTGAAACCCCTCTCTACTAAAAATACAAAAAAAATTAGCCAGGCATGGTGGCGGGCACCTGTAATCCCAGCTACTCGGGAGGCTGAGGCAGGAGAATCGCTTGAACCCTGGAGGCGGAGGTTGCAGTGAGCAGAGATCATGCTATTGCACTCCAGCCTGGAGGACAAGAGTGCGAGACTCTGTCTCAACAAAAAAAAAAAAAAAAAAAAAAAAAAAAAAAGCTTTAGAAATTCTGATTCCTCAGAGCTCCAGTGGACACAGAGATGTCTGCCCTTTGCCCTCTTTTGTTCTCCCTTGCTTTTGTGAGCGTATATGTGTTTTCTCATTCTGTCTTTCTGAGTATGCTTTTTGTCTGCCTGTCTTTTGGTTTCCTTTCATATTTATTATATTTCATTTGAAGTGAAAGGACAGGGCCGGGAGTCATGCCTCCCCAGGCGTGAGGCGTGTGTGGGCTGTATCCCAGAGGAGATTTTCTTTGCCAATTGTGGAATGAAGACTGTATCAAAGTTCAGAGGATCCGCCAACACAGAAGAGAGAAACACCAGATGCTTGGGGCCTCTAAGCAGAAGGAGCAACCCACCAATCCCAAGATACCTGCTTGGCAACGTAATGTGCTGTGCAATGTGCGGCAAGTTGTGAAGAGCCAGCATCTACTTCTGGAAGCTGTCCATCTGAAGTTTCTGAAAAAATTTTCATCGGCACCTGTCAGATGACTTGATTTCTGAGTTAAGAGCTGCATGAAGATGTGCCTTCAAACCAGTCTTTGTACATCACGTTCAGGTGTCACTGAGAAAAGTGATGACTAACATTTCTTGGACATATACCTGCTGGGTATTAATCTTTATACTGGGCATTTGCTGATGATAGTGGAACCTACGGGTGGCCTACTCAACTTCTATTTCTCCATTCTTCCATTTTAGCTAACAGAACCTCAATTTTGTTCATCTATTGTTTCCTTTTGAAACCCAGAGAAAGGTGACCCCATTCCAATTCCGAAAGTAAGTATTGATTAGTCTAAGCCAGTCATGATATTTCCATCTCCCTTGCCAAGGACTTGTTGAGGAAAGGTCAAATAACAAAACACTGGCCAATGAAGCATGAAGGAAAGTTCTGGAAAAGAAAGATTGTGTGAAAGAGACACAGAAAGAGATGACCTTTCTCTCTGGTTTTTATTTCTAGATGAGATTCCTGAAACTCTTACAGTTATCTTGTTATCAACCTAAGGATGAATGTAACACCTACGGGAGGGCGGAACCGAGTATTCTCCCCTGGAGCCTGAGATATTTCTGGACTTCCTAGCATGTGATATAATAATTTATTATTGTGTTATATCATATTAAGTTGGGGGCTCTGTTACCTGCATCAGAAATCTTCCTCATAGCCATAGGTTGGTTCATTTAATCTTCACTGCTGTCCATGTGGTATCTATCTCCTTTTTATAGGTTAAGAAATGCATTTAAGTTACTACAGCTAGTAAGCAGCAAAGCCCCAAATTCAATCCAGTTCTGAGTTTTAAAAATCCCTAACATGTGGCTGGGTGCGGTGGCTCATGCCTGTAATCCCAGCACTTTGGGAGGCTGAGGTGGGCAGATCACAAGGTCAGGAGTTCGAGATCAGCCTGGCCAACATGGTGAAACTCCATCTCTATTAAAAATACAAAAATTAGCTGGGCGTGGTGGCATGCACCTGTAGTCCCAGCTACTCTGGAGGCTGAGGCAGAAGAATCACTTGAACCCAGGAGGCAGAGGTTGCAGTGAGCTGAGATCGCACCACTGCATTCCAGCCTGCGCGACAGAGCAGTACTCAGTCTTTAAAAAAAAAAAAAATCCCTAACATGTGTGCCTTAGTCCATTTTATGCTGCTATAACAGAATACCACAGGCTGAGTAATTTGTAATGAACAGAAATGTATTTGGCTTACAGTTCTAAAAGCTGGAAAGCCCAAGATTCAGGGGCTGCATCTGGTGAGGGCCTCCTTGCTGCATCGTAACACAGCAGAAGACATCACGTGATGAGAATGAGAGCTCAGACTGGCAGCAGCGAGTCTTTTCACAGTCAGCATTAATCCATTCATGATGGTGGAGCCCTCATGACCTAAACACCCACCATCAGGCTCCACTCCACCTCCCAACACTGTTGCACTGGGAATTCAGTTTCCAGCATACGCTTTTTAGGGGACATATTCAAACCATAGTGATGTCTTCATTTTATATCTGTAGGAGAGTCATGATTTTATCTTTTTTTTTTTTTAGTTTTTTTTTTTTTTTTTTTTTTGATAAGAGTCACTCTGTCACCCAGGATAGAGTGCAGTGGCATGAGTTCGGCTCACTGCAACCTTCGCCTCCTGGGTTCAAGTGATTCTTCTGCCTCAGCCTCCTGAGCAGCTGGGAATACAGGCACGCGCCACCATGCCCGGCTAATTTTTGTATTTTTAGTAGAGATGGGGTTTCACCATATTGGCCAGCCTGGTGTCGAACTCCTGACCTCATGATCCGCCTGCCTTGGCCTCCCAAAGTGCTGGGATTACAGGCATGGGCCACCGCGCCAGGCCAAGTTGTTCTTAAATAAGAAGTATAGGCCAGGCATGGTGGCTCATGCCTGTAATCCCAGCACTTTGAGAGGCCAAGGCAGGCGGATCACCTGAGGTCAGGAGTTTAAGACCAGCCTGGCAAACATGGTGAAACCCTGTCTCTACTAAAAATACAAAAAAAAAAAAAAAAAAATTAGCTGGGAGTGATAGCACACACCTGCAGTCCCAGCTACTAGGGAGGTGAGGCAGGTGGATCACTTGAACCCAGGAGGTGGAGGTTGCAGTGAGTTGCAGTGAGCCGAGATCGCCCCACTGCACTCCATCCTGGGAGACAGAGCGAGACCCTGTCTCAAAAAAAAAAAAAAAAAAAAAGAAGAAGAAGAAGAAGAAGTATAATGAAATGGAATAAAGAGTGGAAAACCTCCTTCCTCCTCAACCCTTGCATAATTGCTAATGACCTGGTATTTCTGGAGTTTGTGTTGGGGAAAAGATGGTGATCAGTAAGAGGTCATCCAGAGCTTATTTTGTCATTCGGAGTATGCTTTTTTTCCTTCTGGGCACAGTCCATGGGCTGTCCTAGAGGCTGCTGTCAAGGTTAGCAGCATGCCTCGTTTTCTTTGGTGCAAGACTACCTGGGTTCAAATTATGGCTCCCCAGCTCCAGTCTGAGAGGCTTGGGGCAAGTTACTTAAACATTCTGTGTCCCAGTGCCCCCATCTGTAAAATGAGGATAACACCAGATCCTACCTGGTAGGATTCTTGTAAAGATTAAATGAGTGAATATATATATATAAATCACTTGGAATAGTGCCTGGCCTATTTGTAAAAGCAAATTTTAGCTGACACTATTATTTTTTTTCCTCCTACAACACCTATTATTAATAGAATAGACACTGATAATTGAAATCACACAGTCTCCATGATCCATATGTTGCTTCGGCAGAGATCGTATTTGGTTAATTCTCAACATTCCTAGAGTTGGTGGCCAGTACCATTGGGTGCAAATGAGGACAGCCCGAAGAAGGGAGCCATTCACAGACTGGCCCGGGGGTGTCCTGAAGCCAAATGAGGATGCCTTCCATGTTACTTCAAACTCTAAAGGATGAAAGGCTCTGGGCTGTTTTCGCAACAGAAGCACCTATGACACCCCCCGGGGTGGGTGCTGTCTATGAATGGCTCCCTTCTTTGAGCTGTCTTCACGCCACTCCTTTTACATCTTGATTATGTACTTCTTGAAACACCTCACACTATGCCTAGGACATAGTAGGTGCCTAATACATTTGAGCTACAACACTATGAACCCACCAAAGAAATCACTTTATGAAAAATAATAGCTGTCATTCACACAGTTCTTTACAGAGCATTTTCCAAAACCTTATTTCTTACATCATCACAGCTTCTTTGATTATAAGGCAGGAAGGGAAAAATCTTATTATATTTTCCAGGATACAAACAAACTGAAGTCCAGAGGGCTTGAGTAAATGGCCCAAGGTTCGTCCAGTTAGTGGAAGTTTGGTCTCTTGAATTCAGGTTTCAGGTTCCAAATCCCAGGTGTTTCACATTGCCTGGGGGAAAAACTGGGAAACTGTTGATTCCTCTCCTCCCACTGTCCCATTTGCCCTCTGTTCAGCCAAGCCAGATAAGGACAGAGCCACCTTTTAGGGAAACCATAACAAAGCCACCTTCTTTAAGTGAGTCTCACTGCCAGTGCAATAACAAGCCATTCCACACAGTCAACAGTCATGATGGAGGAGGTGGAGGTGCCAGGAACTGTGCTAAGTGCTGGGGATATAAAGACGAATAAGTCAGGCCAGGAGCTACATTCTAGCACACTGAGAGAGAGAGGTGAGGTGTGTGCTCCTAGAAACAGGGTAGGAGGCAGCAATGGCCAGAATAAAGGCAAAATGTCAACAACAGCTCAGAAACAAGAAAAGTCATAATGTAAATAACAAAGAAACAACTGCAAAGAAAGCTGAACTTGACTTCCAAGCCTCCCTCCTCTGTCTCCATTCCCAGTATCCCCTGTTAGAATGTCTTATGGCTAAAAAGATCTTATAAAATTTGGCCATATCTTGAGCTAGAAGCAGCAGGGGAGATTTCCTCTTTGAGGGCTTCCTCCTCACCTGGACAGATGGGGGACTACTGCAGGGTATTTGGGGGTGGAATATGGGAAATAGGGAGGAAAGAATCACTGTGTCTGTCATCTCTGTAGACTAAGTCTCAGAATCTCTTCTGGCTTGCCTGTGAATTATTGGTTTTTGTATAATGTGTGTGAATCTGTGCATTTAATGCTGAGAATTAAATCATTCCTTTATAAGACTGTAAATCAAAGAGTGAATGGAGGGAGATTCCAAAGTGATTCTTCCCCCTGATGAGGTGGGAGGGAACACCACCACCACCACCACCACCACCACCACCACCACCACCACCAGGCCCACCACTCATAGGACTCATCTACCTCTTCAAAAGGGTGCAGCCTAGGTGGGAGATTTTTGTTCTACTGGCATGGAGGGAATACTCCTTAGGTTAATATGAAGGGTTCTAACTCCCAGAAATAGAAGGAGTTTATTTTGTAGTAAGCAAGAAGCCAATGGACCCCTCCCTACGGCCTATCTCTGTTCCAACCAGCTTCTCCACTAGTGATATCTCTGAGCCGGCATCAATCCTCAGTGACCAGCTTACCAATGACCTGGCAGCTGTTCCTCCTGTAGAAAATTCAGTTCCATTCAGTGCCAGCTGGACAGCCCAGTTGCTCCCAAGGATGCTCCCAGAAGCTCTATTTCCCATGTTGTGAGAGGCCTTGGTGTCAAATGAAGTGAGGGCTCCATCCTAACCACATTAGCTGACCACTGGGCACTGCTGGCCCTAAATTAATCCTCGCTGCAAGCAAAAAGACAGCTATAATGATTTGCACCACACAAATAGGGAAACTGAGGCTCAGAGAGATGAAAAGCCTTCCCCAAGGTCATATAGCCAGCAAGTGACTGGGCCGAGTTTCATCACAGACCTGTCTGACACTGAAGCCCATGCCTTTCCCACGACATCACTTGGCCTCTTGGTATTTTTGGCACCACATGGATAAGGACTTAATATTCTGGTACACCAATGCCAGCCAAGGCAAGGGACAAATGTTGCTTGTTTGTAACCCTTCCCCCTCTTGGGAAAATAAGCCTGGGTCCCTGTATTTTAATGAACTCTCCTGGTGATTCAGTGGTTAAGGACCACTGAATTGGGCATTCATGCTATTGCACCGTAAGATTACTGACTGCTAACTCTTCAGGAACTTCATATTTCTCATCTCTTTTAATCATCCTGAAAGTCCTATCATGTAAAACTAGTTTTTTATCCAGTTTTTATTTTTTATTTTTTTTGAGACGGAGTCTCGCTCTCTTGCCAGGCTGGAGTGCAATGGCGCGATCTTGCTTTACTGCAACCTCTGCCTCCCGGGTTCAAGCGATTCTCCTGCCTCAGCCTCCCGAGTAGCTGGGACTACAGGCGCATGCCGCTATGCCCGGCTAATTTTTTTTTTTTTTTTTTTTTTTTTTTAGTAGAAACAGGGTTTCACCACGTTGGCCAGGATGGTCTCGATCTCTTGACTGCGTGATCTGCCTGTCTCGGCCTCCCCAGGTGTTGGGATTACAGGTGTGAGCCACCACGCCTGGCTATATCCAGTTTTTAAATGAAGACTGAGGCAGAGAAATTTCAGTAAACTGTCCAAAGTGACTCATCTGGAAAGTGGCAGGGCAGGGTGTCAAACACAGGCAATACAGCCCCACAGACTGCAGGCTCAGCTGCTATTCCACCTGGCCTCCCCATTAGGCCTGCTTCATTTCAATGGGATCTTCTGGAGAAAACGCCTTTCCTCTGGTGAAATGAATTACCTGGTGGGAATAACTCACTAATTACAGGACTGAGGTTGATAGGATATTTTGAGACAAACAAAATGTGTGATATTCCCCTCCTCTTCCATCCCAGATCAGATGCCACATTCAGCCAAATCCTATACAGATAGCCAGCCCTGCTGATTCCTGGCATTCACCTCCTACTTCTTTGCTATGTGAGTCTCCCATTTTCCCATACAGTTTTGCTCCCAGGAGTCCACCAGAAATAGTGGATGGGTGAAAATGAATAGCAAAAAGAAAGATTAAGAAGCAACCAACTGTGTTGGGAAGGAGTGATACTGTTTTAGATGGAAATTTGCCTGAAAATAGACCATTCAGTCATGTAGACAGTAATAAGTTGTATGTAAACACCAAACATTCATGCACATTTTATGCAAAAGTTCATGTGCCCTCTGTGATATTTGGAGATGGTGTCAGAACTTCCTAATATAGCCCAGTGGTTAAGAAATAGGTATTGAGGCCGGGTGCGGTGGCTCACGCCTGTAATCCCAGGAGGGTGGATCACCTGAGGTCAGGAGTTCAAGGCCAGCCCGGCCAATATGGTGAAACCCCCATCTCTACTAAAAATACAAAAATTAGCCAGGCGTGGTGGCAGGCGCCTGTAATCTCAGTTACTCAGGAGACTGAGGCAGGAGAATTGCTGGAACCTAGGAGGCGGAGGTTGTGGTGAGCCCAGATCGCACCATCGCACTCGAGCCTGGGTGACAGCAGCGAGACTCCATCTCAAAATTAAAAAAAAAAAAGAAATTGGTATTGAAGTCCATCATACCTGAGTGTTGAGCACTAGCTTTGCTGATTACTAGCTACATGACCTCAGGCAAGTACATGACCTCTCTGCCTGGATTTCCTCCTCTATAAAATGAGAATAGTATAGTACCTGCCTCATGGAGAGCTTAGTTCTCTTAGTGAGAACTAAGCACCATAGACCCTCCTTCACAGGGGCTCTGGAGGGAAATGGTGACCGTAAGGAGAACCATTTCTCTTCTCTGCTTTCCTCTGTCCCCTTGGCAATGACTTATCTCCTTCGCTCCTACATAGGGGCACCTGACTCAGCACAGACTCTTCCTTCAAGGCATCTAGCTCAAAGGACTTGCCTCCCCTCCTTTTACGTGGGGAGCTATGTTCTTGGCTTTGAGATAGATTTCTTAAATTGTCTTCCACAGTCGCAAGTGACTCAGCCGTTGCTTAGGGATTTAATTAACCAACAATAGAAGGCTTGAAAGAGACAAGCCTCTGGGAACTTTCTCCCTTCCCTGGTTGGCTGTGAGTAGGGTGAGAATGAAACAAGGAACCTTCTAGAACCACACTGTCCAATATGGTAGCCACTGGCCATATGTGGCTATCAAGCACCTGAAATGTGGCTGTCTGAATTAAGATGTACTATAAGATACTCAACAGATTTGAAGAGTTCTATGAAAAAAGAATGTAAATATCCCATTAATAATTTTATATATTTATTACAAGTTGAAATGATGATATTTTTGATATATTGATTTTATTTGTTAAAATGTTTCTACTAAGTCCTTTAAAATTAAGTATGGAGCTGTTGAATGGCACTGTTCTAGAGTGTTCATGATTTAATAATGAATTAATAACATATCAACACTTTTTGAAAGTGACTTTAACATAGATTTATGTCTTAGTATGTTTTGTGCTGCTATAATAGAATATCTGACACTGAGTAATTTATAAAGAACAGTAATTTATAAAGAACAGAAATTTATGTTATCACAGTTCTGGAGGTTGGGAAGTCTAAGACCAAGGCACTGGCATCTGGTGAGGGCACTCCTGCTTCATCCTTTCTAGATGGAAGATGGAAGGGAAAAAGTTGGGGGTGGGGGGTGGGGAGAGAGGAAAGAGAAAGAAAGGTGGGAGGAAGAATCTAATCCCATGAGCCCTTTTTATAACAGCATTAGTCCATTCAAAAGGGCTTGAAAGAGACAAGCCTCTGGGGCTAAACACATCCCATTATGCCCCGCCTCCAACACTGTTGCATTGGGGATCAAGTCTCCAGCACATTAATTTCTGTGGCACATATTCTAACCATAGCAATCTACTTTTACCTTTATGAAGTAGCTATTGTTATAAACAATGTTCAGGTAAAGGCAGCAAAGCCACAGTCTATTCAGTGTTTAGACAATCAGCAGGCTTGCTTGCTGGGACAGATCTGAGCTGAGAGAGAACCAGACGGAAGAACACTGACTTAGAGAGCAAAACGTCCGGCTTCTTGGCCTTGCTATACTACTAAATTGCTGTCTGACCTTGGGCAAATTACTGTCCCTCAGATTCTTTACTTAAAAAATGAACAGATAGGCTGATATGGAATTTAAGGGTAGGAAACTAGTAGCCTGTAGGCTAAATAAAGTCAGAGATTTGTCTGTGTGTTTGGGCCACCTTTATTTATTTATTTATTTACTTAGATACTTTTAAGGAGGAGACAAGCACTCTCCTACAGACTGGGGTTCCTACCATTCCCCTCAGGCCCCCACCTACAGTACCAACCTCCAAACCCTGGAGGCATTTGAGTTTGCAACCTTTGGCTGCCAATTTTAAACTCCAGGTGAATATGGAGCAATTGCTGACTTACTTCCACTTATGCTAATGCTGACCATTCAAAGACCTGTCCAGACAGAAAAGGGTCTTAGATGGTAGTTGCCAGTCTACTCCAAGACAAATTTCTGTTTCTCTGTCTAATCCTCTTTTTATATGCTACCATCTTGAATTTCCAACAAAAACAACAGCACCATATCCTCCTGTAGGACCAAGGAATATTAAACTCAAAGGAAACTTAAAAATAATCTATGCAGGGCAAACCTTCCATTTTACAGAGAGGAAACCAACAAAAATTGAGGGCGTATAGTGCTTTTATACTTGCATATGTCAGTGATTTTATCATCTTTTGGAAAGTAAGATAAATAAAATAAAATACAATTATTTTTATGCATATGTGCAATTCTTATACTTATTTGCAATTCCTTCATGTAAAATTTTTTTTACATCCAGGTAGAATTTTTCTTAATAAAAATTCAATGGGATGACTGGTTAGAAAAAAGAAATAGTAGTATAGAACTGCTTCTTTTTCTCTGTGATTAAGCTATATAAAACTCGCAGCAAAAAATAGGTAAATGTAACCCACGCAAGAAAGTAAATAGCAAAAGGATTGTAAAGCTCTGAAAGAAGTCTTTTTGCAGGGATAATAGCAATTTGGATGTAAGCTACTGCTTTTGCATATTAAACACAAGTCTTTGTCTCTGTCACCTCAGTAGTGGGAGAAAGCAAAATCTGATTTGATGGGGGGAAAGGAAAGACCATAAATAAAGCGTGTGTTGTTTCCTGGCGGACAACCTTCCTAATGGCATTTTGCCCAGATGCCCTTTCTTCTTGGCTAAATCCCTTGGCCAGGATAATGGTTGAGACCCTAGAAGCTCAAGAGAGACCAGAAAGTTGATAAATGCCTTCAGGGTCCAGACTTGAGCCAGTTCTGATTCTGTGGCCAGACTGGTCAGTGTTGCTGTTGCATAAACGCAGTCATGGAAGCCCCACATGTGATCTCTTCCTGGAGAAACTCGAGGTCAGTGATGGGAGGCAGCCGCCAGCAGGAGTTAGCTAGTCATGAGTATCCCAGAAGTGTTTGAAGATGGGATCACTGCCGAAAACTATTCCCCAAAATCTCTTGCCATGAGGAAAGTCTAACCCTGGGTGCAAGGAGTAACTCCTTTTATTTTTCCCAGGCATACTGCACATCACAGTCATGACTTCTACACTCAGGAAGCCAGTGCCCCAAAAGGCAAAAAGACAGATCTGTTTCTCGTCCACAGAAATAAAGAAAGGTAAATGCTGGAGATTGCGCTGGAGATTTAAGGAATGATGACAAAATGGCAAAAACCAATCCAATCAACTGAAGTTCAGGAGATGATGAAAATCAATAATAAAATAGCTTGGGAAATATAGGTTTTCCCAACATGCTGCGTTCATTTCCTCCTCTGCTTATATACAATCTCCCTAGCAGTGGGACCTTAATTATCTCCGTTTCTCCAACAATCTACCCATCTTTTAGGATTCATCGAGAATCCTACTTCTCCCACGAAGCTTCCTCTAACCTTCCAACTCACAGGATTTCTGCTTTTACTGTCTGTATTGTTCACTTGCTGATATATTTAAATGTGGCCTCGAACTGCTTTTTAATATAGTTATACTTATGTACCTTACCTTCTCAACTAGACTGTAGGCGCTTCGCAGGCAGAGCTGAGTCACAATGACTAGCTAGCTGAGCACAAGAGCTTTCAAGAGGAGCCTGGAATAGCAAGCTGTCTAGCAGCCAAGGTCCCTAGGCCTCTCCATTTCCCCTTCCCAGCATGCCCTGGGCCTCTCTGCTTCCCTCCCAGCATGCCCTGGGCCCCTCTGCTTTACTTCCTAGCATGCCCTGGGCCTCTCTGCTTCCCTCTCCAGCATGCCCTGGGCCTCTCCATGTTGGCAACTTCTTCTTGGTTCCTTCTTAGCCGGAGAACAGCCTTTCTCTGTGCAACTTCTTTCCTTACCAGAAGGCAAACAGAACCAAAGAGATGTTTATCTTTTTATACAAAAGATAAGGTATGAGAGAAACAATGCATCGTCAACTATGTAGGGAGGTTTAGACAGCAATTATCATTATTCAGATTATTGGAATTTTCTTAGAAAACTAAACCTTTTCCTGAACAGAGCTGAGCCATTAAAAAAAAAAAAAAAAAAAGCAAAACAACAGAACATTCCATAGCTTTCCTTTGGGTGTGGTTACCAGGCATCTGATAATTAAAAAAAAAAAAAAAAAAAAAGGCTGGGCGCAGTGGCTCATGCCTGTAATCCCAGCACTTTGGGAGGCCAAGGCGGGCGGATCACCTGAGGTCATGAGTTCCAGACCAGCCTGACCAACATGGCAAAACCCTGTCTCAACTGAAAATACAAAGATTAGCTGGGTGTGGTGGCACACACCTGTAATCCTGGCTACTCAGAAGGCTGAGGTGGGAGAATTGCTTGAACCCAGGAGGTGGAGGTTGTGGTGAGCTGAGATCGTGCCATTGCATTCCAGCCTGGGTGACAGAGCGAGACTCCATCTCAAAAAAAAAAAAAAAAAAAAGAGAGAGAGAGAGCTATGTATATGTTGTGTTTACACAGTCCACAAATGAAATGCAGGTCGGCCCATAAAACAAGCATTAACAATAAAAATACAGTCTGTACTGAATTGTACACTTAAAAAATGGTTATGATAGTAAATTTATGGTATGTGTATTAGATGAGGAATAAAATGACCATTAAAATTAACCATGGAGTAAAAGTAGGCATTTGTTAAGAAATTAAAATTGTACTTGGAACTCAAATGAAATTGAATGTATAACTAAGTGCTGTATTTACTAGATGTCTGCTTTTATTTACATATTCTCTGCCTCTGAAAAAGAATATGAGGTGGCACTGAGAACAATAATATTATATAGTTGAATGTGTAACTTCAGCTTTTTTCCCTAAGTTAAAATCAGAACGTGCCAAATACATAATATTCTATGCCGACTAATGAGGTAATGAACAAAGGAAGGAAATGGCCAATTCTTGCTGGGTGTCTTTGATGGGTACATCTGCAGAGAAAGTAAAACACTAGAGGTAGACCCTCCCTACTCAAACCCTTTTAAAAAACTTTCCCATTGTTCGTTGCAGCATTTCTCAGGCATATCTGACTTCACAACACTTTTTCTATAAAAAGAAAAATACTAATAGGAGCTCATGAACTACATCATAGCAATGATAATAGATAGCATTCACTGACTGATATTTACATGCCAACACTGTTCTAAGCACTTTATATACATTGCTGCATTTAATCCTTAAGGCAATCTGCAAGGTGGGCATTGTTAATATCCCTCATTTTACAGATGAGGAAATGGAAGGACAGACACAAAGTAAATTGTTCAAAGTCACAAAACTAGTAAGGAGTAAAGTTAGGATTTGAATCAAGGTAGTTTGGCTCCAAAGCCTGGGGGTCTTCACTACTGTTATGGACTTAATGTTTGTTCCCAAATATAGATTTTGTTCCCAAAATTTATATGTTGAAGCCTGAACTCCTATGTGATGTTATTTGGAGATGGGGCCTTTGGAAGGTAATTAGGGTTAGATGAGGTCATTAGGCTGGGGCCCTCATGATGGGATTAGTGCCCTTATAAGAAGAGACCCCTAAGAGCTCTCCCCAAACCCTGCATGTACACTCAAAGAAAAGGTCATGTGAGCACAGTCGGATGGTAGCCAAGAGAAGAGGACTCAATGAAACCTACCTTGTCAGCACCTTCATATCAGTTTTCCCAGGCTCCAGAACTATGAGAAATAAACTTCCATTTAAGCCACCAGCCTACGGTATTTTGCTGTGGCAGCCAAGTGAACTCAAATAACCACTATCCCACACCCTCTTTCTACCAATCACAGAATTTCAGAGAATGGGTGTGTAAATATTTAGTCTACAACAAACCCTGACTAGCATAACCATACATGCTGAAATCACACAACATAATGTGATTGACAAATACTACCCAGTCAGGTGATCAGGGAGAGATGATCAGTGACTGGTAAGTGTTGCCCCCATCCTTAAAGTTCCCACTATGCACAGGCATGGATACTTACTTCACCCACCATGCTTATGTGGACATACCATTTTTTTTTTCTTTTTTTTTTTTTTGAGATAGAGTCTCGCTCTGTCACCCAGGCTGGAGTGCAATGGCATGATCTCAGCTCACTGCAACCTCTGCCTCCCGGGTTCAAGTAATTCTCCTGCCTCAGCCTCCCAAGTAGCTGGGATTACAGGCACCCACCATCAGGACCGGCTAATTTTTGTATTTTTGTAGAGATGGGTTTTCACCATGTTGGCCAGGCTGGTCTTGAACTCCTGACCTCAGATGATCCTCCCTCCTCCGCCTCCCAAAGTGCCAGGATTACAGGCATGAGCCACCACACCCAGCCATAGACACACCATTTCTAAAGGCAAGTGGATACTGTAGGGTAAAAACCATTTAAGTGTATGCAATATCTTTTTAAAAAATAAACATCATTTTTAAGAATAATTTTAGATTTACAGAAAAATTGCAGATAGTATAGAGAGTTCCCACTGGGATACAGTGGTACAGTCACAGCTCACATCTCACTTAGTTTCTGCTATTCTTAATGTGTTACATCAGTATCACACATTGGTTACAATTAATGACTCAACATTGATATATTGTTATTAACTAATGTCCATACTTGCTTTGTATTTCCTTAGGTTTTACCTGATTTTTTTTTTTTCTGTTGCAGGGCTTATCCAGGATGCCACAAGACATTAGTTGTTGTGTCTCCTTAGGCTCTCTCCCACCTTTTTTTTTTTTTTTTTTTTTTTTTTTGAGACGGAGTTTTGCTCTTGTTGCCCAGGCTATGGGGCAATGGCGCAATCTCGGCTCACCACAACCTCTGCCTCCTGGGTTCAAGCGATTCTCCTGACTCAGTCTCCTGAGTAGCTGTGATTACAGGCATGTGAGACCACGCCTGGCTAATTTTGTATTTTTAGTAGTGACGAAGTTTCACCATATTGGTCAGGCTTGTCTTGAACTCCCGACCTTAGGTGATCCGCCTGCCTTGGCCTCCCAAAGTGCTGGTATTACAGGCGTGAGCCACCATGCCCGGCCCCCTCAGGCCCCTTTTAACTATGATGGTTTCTCAGACTTTATTTGTTGCTTTTTGTTTGTTTGCTTTGTTTTGAGTTTTTTTTTTTTTTTTTTGAGACAAAGTCTTGCTCTGTCTCCTAGTCTGGGGTACAGTGGTGCAGTCACAGCTCACTGCAGCCTCATCCTCCCAGGCTCAGGTGATCCTCCCACCTCAGCCTCCCAGCTAATTTTTTTTTTCAAACTTCGTATGGGTTCTCACTATATTTTTGACAACCTTGATTGACAGTTTTGAAGAGTACTGGTCAGGTATTTTGTAGAATGTTTCTCCATTGGGATTTGTCTGATGTTTTCCTTTTTTCTTTTCTTTCTTTTTTTTTTTTTTTTTTTTTGAGATGGAGTTTCGCTCTTGTTGCCCAGGCTGGAGTGCAATGGCGTGATCTTGGCTCACTGCAACTACCTCCCGAGTTCAAGCAGTTCTCCTGCCTTAGCCTCCCAAGTAGCTGAGATTACAGGCTCATGCCACCACCCCCAGCTAATGTTTGTATTTTTAGTAGAGACAGGGTTTCACCATGTTGATCAGGCTGCTCTTGAACTCCTGGCCTCGTGATCTGCCTGCCTCGGCCTCCCAAAGTGCTAGGATTACAGGCATGAGCCACGGCACCCGGCAAAATTAAATTTCCAAGCGAATCCTCCCTAGCACTTCCAATAAATACTGTTGAAGGACAAGCTGGGGTCCCTTGGAGGTAGAGGCCACATGAAACTTTTATTCATCTGCTCACTCATTCATTCAGTAAATGTGAACTGCACCTCTGTGCGAGACCAGCTGTTGCATTAAACACTTTATTTGCATCATAGTGTCATTGGATCTTTTTTTTTTTTTTTTTTTTTGAGACAGAGTCTTGCTCTGTCACCCAGGCTGGAGTGCAGTGGCGCGATCTCGGCTCACTGCAAGCTCCACCTCCTGGGTTCAAGTGATTCTCTTGCCTCAGCCTCTCGAGCAGCTGGGATTACAGGTGCCCGCCACCACACCTGGCTAATTTTTTTGTATTTTTAATGGAGACGGGGTTTCACTATGTTGGCCAGGCTGGTCTCAAACTCCAGACCTCGTGATCCGCCTGCCTCGGCCTTCCAAAATGCTGAAATTACAGGCATGAGCCACTGCACCTGGCCTAATTTTTGTATTTTTAGTAGAGATGGGGTTTCACCATGTTGGCCAGGATGGTCTCCATCTTCTTTTTTTTTTTTTTTTTTTTTTTGAGACGGAGTCTTGCTCTGTCACCCAGGCTGGAGTGCAGTGGTGTGATCTCGGCTCACTGCAAGCTCTGCCTCCTGGGTTCACGCCATTCTCCTGCCTCAGCCTCCCAAGTAGCTGGGACTACAGGTGCCCGCCACCACGCCCGGCTAATTTTTTTTTTTGTATTTTTACTAGAGACGGGGTTTCACCGTGTTAGCCAGGATGGTCTTGATCTCCTGACCTCGTGATCCGCCCGCCTCGGCCTTCCAGTGCTAGGATTACAGGCATGAGCCACTGCGCCCGGCCGATGGTCTCCATCTTCTGACTTTATGATCCAGCTGCCTTGGCCTCCCAAAGTGCTGGGATTACAGGCATGAGCCATGGTGCCCGGCTCTTTTTTTTTTTTTTTTTTTGAGAGACAGAATCTCTCTCTGTTTCCCAGGCTGGAGTGCAGTGGCACGATCTCAGCTCACTGCAACCTCCACCTCTCGGATTCAGGCAATTCCCCTGTCTCAGCCTCCTAAGTAGCTAGGATTACAGGTGCTTGCCACCACACCCAGCTACTTTTTGTATTTTTAGTAGAGACAGGGTTTCACCATATTGGTCAGGCTGGTCTCAAACTCTTAACCTCACATAATCCATCCACTTCTGCCTCCCAAAGTGCTGAGATTACAGGCGTGAGCTACCAAGCCCAGCATAATTTTTGTATTTTTAATAGAGACAGGGTTTCACCATGTTGACCAGGCTGGTCTTGAACTCCTGACCTCAGGGGATCCATCCACCTTGGCCTCCCAAGGTGCTGGGATTACAGGCGTGAGCCACTGTGCTCAGTCTGATGTTTTTCTTGTGTGACTGAGATCATGGGTTTTTTTAACAAGAAGATCACAGAGATAAGGTACTATTTTCATCACATCATTCAAGGGTATATACTGTCAACACAATTTATCACTGTTGATTTTGACCTTAACCACCTCCACTGTAAAGTTACTCCATCTCCTGCTTTTCATACTGTATTCTTTGGAAGGAAGGCGGTACAGTTGACCCTACAACAATGCAGGTTGGGGCGCCGGGTGTGGTGGCTCACGCCTGTAATCCCAGCACTTTGGGAGACCGGGGTGGGTGGATCACCTGAGGTCAGGAGTTTGAGACCAGCCTGACCAACATGGAGAAACCCCGTCTTTACTAAAAATACAAAATTAGCCTGGCATGGTGGCACATGCTTGTAATCCCAGCTACTCCGGAAGGCTGAGGCAGGAGAATCGCTTGAACCTGGGAGGCGGAGCTTGCAGTGAGCCGAGGTCGTGCCATTGTACTCCAGCCTGGGCAACAAGAGAGAAACTCTGTCTCAAAAAAAAAAAAAAAAAAAAAAAAAAAAACAATGCAGGTTGGAACTGCACAGGTCCACTTATACGCAGATTTTTTTTATAAATACAGTCAGCCCTCTGTATCCGCAGGTTCCACATTCACAACCAAATGTGGATGGAAAATACAGTATTGGAGAAATTTGAAACCAGCAGATAGGGAGGGCTGACTTTGTGTATGGCTGAGTTCGTCAGGGCCCACTTTGGGACTTGCGTATGTGTGGATTTTGATATCTGTGGATCTGTGGGTATATTAGGCCATTCTTGTGTTGCTATGAATAAATACCAGAGAGTGGGTAGTTTTTGAAGAAAAGAGGTTTAATTAGCTCACAGTTCTGCAGGTTGTACAGTCATGGCACTGACATTCCTCATCTTCTGGAGAGGCCTTAGGGGCTTTTACTCATGAGAGGCGAAGCAGAAGCAGGGGAATCACATGGTGAAAGGTGGAGCAAGAGAGAGAGTTGGGGTGAGCTGGGGAGGTGCCACACATTTTTAAATGACCAGATCTCATGAGAACTCACTATCACAAAGACAGCACACAAAGACAGCACCAAGCCATGAGGGATCCACCCTCATGATCCAGACACTTCCCACCAGGCCCCACCTCCAGCATTGAGGATTATAATTCAACATGAAATTTGGGCAGAAAAAAAAATCCAAACCATATCATTCTGCCCCAGCCTCTCCCAAGTGTCACCTCCTCACATTGCAAAATATAATCATGCCTTCCCAACAGTCCCCCAAATCTTAACTCATTCCAGCATTAACTCAGAAGACCCAAGTAAGTTCAAAGTGTCGTCTAGAGATGAGTTCCTTCACTTATGAGCCTATAAAATCAAACAATTATTTACTCCCATGATACAATGGGGGTATAGGCATTGGGTAAACATTCTTATTCCAAAAGGGAGAAATCAGCCAAAAGAAAAGGGCTACAGGCCCCTTTCAAAACCCAATAGTTCAAAACCCAGCAGGGTAGTCATTAAAAGTTAAAGCTCCAAAATAATCTCCTTTGAATCCATGTCCCACACCCAGGGCACAGTGGCACAAGGGGTGGGCTCTGAAGGCCTTGAGCAGCTCTGCCTCTGTGGCTTTGTAGGGTTCAGCCCCATGGCTGCTCCCATGGGTTGGAGTTGAATGTCTGTAGCTTTTCCAGGTGCAGGGTGAAAGCTGCCAGTGGATTTACTATTCTGGGGTCTTAAGGATGGTAGCTGCCTTCTCACAGCTCCACTAGGCAGTGCCCAGTGGGAACTCTGCTGGGGGCCTCCAACCCCACATTTCCCCTCTGCACTGCCCTAGTAGAGGTTCTCTGTGAGGGCCCTGCCCCCATAAGCAGGCTTCTGTCTTGACAGCCAGGCTTTTCCATACATTCTCTGAAATTTAGGTGGAGGCTGCCAAGAATCCACCACTCTTGCACTCTGCATCTGCAGGCTTAGCACTACATGGAAGCTGCCAACGTTTAGGGCTTGTATTCTCCAGAGCAGCAGCCCAAGCTATACCTGGGCTCCTTTGAGCCACGGCAGGAGCTGGAGTGGCCAGAATGTGGAGAGTGGTGTCCCAAGGCCATGCAGGGCAGTGGGGCCCTGGGCCCTGTCCATGAAACCATTCTTCCTTCCTAGGCCTCTGGACCTGTAATGGGAGGGGCTGCTACAAAGGTCTCTGAAATTCCTTCAAGGCCTTTCCCCCCATTGTTTTGGACATGATCAATTTGCTCTGTTTTATTTATGCAAATATCTCTAGCAAGTGGTTGCTCCATAGTCTGTTTGAAATCCTCTCCCAAAAAAGTTTTTTCTTTATCTGCCACATAGCCAGGCTGCAAAATTTCCAAACTTTTGTGCTCTGCTTCCCTTTTAAATATAAGTTCCAACTTTAAGTCATTCCTTTGCTCCCACATCTGAGCATAGGTTGTTAGAAGAAGCCAGGCTATATCTCAAACACTTGGCTGCTTAGAAGTTTCTTCCATCAGGTATTCTAGCTCATCACCCTCAACTTCAAACTTCCATGGATCTCTAGGGCATGGACATGATACAGCCAAATTCTTTGCTAAAGCATAACAAGGGTGATCTTTTCTCCAGTTCCCAGTAAGTTCCTCATCTCCAAATGAGACCTCATCAGCATGGCCTTTGTCCATACCACTGTCAGCATTTTGGTCACAACCATTTAACAAGTCTCTAAGAAGTTCCAAACTTTCCCTAATCTTCTTATCTTTTTCTGAGCCCTCCAGTGTCTTCTATTCTCTGCCTGTTACTCAGTTCCAAAGCTGCTTCCACATTTTCAGGTATCTTTAAAGCAATGCCCCACTTCTGGTACCAGTTTTTTGTACTACACCATTCTTGCATTGCTATAAAGAAATACCTGAGACTGGGTAATTTATAAGAAAAGAAGTTTAATTGGCTCATGGTTCTGTAAGCTGTATAGGAAGCATAGCACCAACATCTGCTTCTGGAGAGGCCTCAGAAAGCTTTTACTCATGGCAAAAAGTGAAGTAGGAGCAGGCACATCACATGGCCAGAGCAGGAACAACAGAGAGCGGGTGTGGGGAGAGGTGCCACACACTTTAAAATCACCAGATCTTGTGAGAACTCACTCACTATTGCAAAGATAGCACTAAGCCACGAGGGATCCACCCCATGACCCAAACACCTCCTACTAGGACCCACCTCCAGCACTGGGGATTACAATTCAACATGAGATTTGGGCAGGGATAAATATCCAAACTATATCAGTGAGGGTCCTCAGATAAGTCCCTCTAAGATATCAGAGGATGGAATGACTGTATATACAGCCACACTTAAGAAGCAGGGATTTATGCTCCCCATCCTTTGGGGTGGAGTAACTATATACATTATTTGAAATTCTTCTGCATGGGAGATTTGTCTGTTATCCTCCATTTACTTATTCACTAGATCTTTTGGTCTTACATAGATTTTATTCTTTAGAGCAGTTTTAGATTCACAGTAAAACTGAGCAAAAAGTACAGTTAGCCAAAAAAAAAAAAACCCAACTGAAAGATGGGCAAGGGGCCTGAATAGACATTTCTCAAAAGAAGACATACAAATGGCCAGCAGGTTTATGAAAAGATGCTCAATATCACTATCAGAGAAATGCAAATCAAAACCACAATGAGATATTACCTCATATCTGTTAGAATGGTTATTATAAAGAAGACAAAAGATAACAAGTGTTGGTAAGGATGTGGAGAAAAAGGAACGCTGGACACTGTTGGTGGGAATGAAAATTGGTATAGCCATTATGGAAAACAGTACGGAGGTTTCTCAAAAAATTAAAAATAGTACTACCATATGATCCAGCAATCCAATTTCTGGGTATATATCCAAAGGAAATGAAATCAGTGTCTCAAAAAGATATCTGCACTTTCATGTTCATTGCAGCATTATTCACAATAGCTAAGATATGGAAACAGCCTAAAGTGTTTGTAGATGGATGACTGGAAAAGGAAAATGTGTGTGGGGGGGGGCAGGGGTGTGTATTCCATTGTGTGTGTATACACAATGTATGCAATATAATGGAATATTTTTGAGCCTGCCATTTACCACAACATGGATAAACCTGAAGGACATGATGCTAAGTGAAATAAGTCAGATACAGAAATACAAATATTGCATGACTTCACTTATATATGGAACCTAACAAAGTTGAATGCATAAAGGCAGAGTAGAATGATAGTTGCTAGGGGCTGGGGGGTTGGGGGAAAATGGGGAGATGTTGGCCAAAGGGTAGGAAGTTTCGGTTATGCAAGATGATATGTTTTAGAAATCTATTGCATAGCATGCTGACTGTAGTTAAAAATACTGTATTGTATATTTGAAATTTGCTAAGAAAGTGCATCTTAAGTGGTTCTCAACACACAAAAGGTAGCTATGTGAGATACGCATATGTTGATTAGCTTGATTGTGGTAGTCATTTCACAGTGTATAGGTATCTCAAAACATCACATTGTACACAATAAATACATACAATTTTTGTCAAGTGTACTTCAGTTAAGCTGGGAAAAAAAATACACAGTTTTCATACACTTCTATCCTCTCTTGGGCAGCATACAGCATTCTCCACTGTCAACATCCCACTCCCAAGTAATATACTGACACTATACCACTACACTGACACCATCATTACCACCCAAAGTTCATAGTTTATGTTTATTCTTGGTATTGTACACTCTGTGGGTTTGGACAAATGTGTAATGACATACATTCACCATTATGGGATCATATGGAATAGTTTTACTGCCCTAAAAATCCTCTGTGCTCCCACCTAAACATCGTTTTCTCTCCCTTCCCCCCTGACAATGACTGATGTTTTTAGAGCCTCCATAGTTTTGCCTTTTCCATCATGTCATATAGTTGAGATCATATGGTATATAATATTTTAAGATTTGCTCTTTCACTTAGCAATATGCATTCAGGTTCTTTCATGTCTGTTCATGGCTTGATAGCTCATTTCGTTTCATCACTGAATAATATTTCATTGTCTGGACATGCCACAGTTTATCCATTCACCTACTGAAGATGTCTTGATTACTTTCAAATTTGGGCAATTATGAATAAAACTGCTGTAGACATACTTGTGCAAATTTTTGTGTACACATAAGTTATCAGTTCATTTGGATACATACCCAGGGTTTTAGTTGCTGAATTGTATGGTAAAAGTATGTTTAAAGTTTAAGAAACCTCCAAACTGTCTTCCAAAGTAGCTGTACCATTTTCCATTTCCACCAGTAATGAATGTGATTTCCTATTACTCCACATCCTTGCAAGCATTTGGTGTTGTCATTGTTTTGAATTTTGGCCATTCTAATAGGTACATAGTGGTGTCTCGTTGTTTGAATTTGCAATTCCCTAATGATGTATGATGTTGAATATCTTTTCATATCCTTATTTGCCATCTGTATATCTTTTTTTGATGAGGTGTCTATTCAGGTCTTTTGCTTATTTTTAATAGAGTTGTCTTTTATTGCTGTTTTAAGAGTTATTTAATATTTTGGATAACGGTCCTTTATCAGATGTCTCTTTTCAAATATTTTCTTCTAGTCAATGGCTTATATTCTCATTCTTTTGACAACGTCTTTTGCAGAGCAGAAGTTTTAATTTTATTGAAGTCTAGCTTATCAATTATTTATTTCATGGGTTGTGCCCTTGATGTTATACCTAAAATGTCATCTATATTTTTCTCTTATGTTATCTCCCAGGAGTTTTATAGTTTCAGGTTTTACATTTAGGTCTATGATCCATTTTGAATTAATTTTTGGGAAGAGTATAAAGTCTGTGTCTAGATTTTTTTTTCCACACATGGACATCCAGTAGTTCCACTTAACATTTTTTTTTTACATATATGTTTAAATAGATTTTAGAAGAAAAATTTTGGCAATATTCTAGTAAACTCTTTTGGCACCAAGATGACTGCTGAGCAGTTTGGGAAATGTTGAACTCCTAAATAAAGACCCTCCACGGCTTGGTACTGCCCACCTCTGAAGCCTTGGCCCTCAGCACTCCCTCTACACATTCAGTCCTCCAGCCAGCCTGAGCTACAGGCTGTCCTTCCCAACCTTTTTCCTATTGAAATGGCCACTTTTTTTTTTTTTTGAGACAGAGTTTCGCTCTTGTTGCCCAGGCTGGAGTGCAGTGGCACAATCTTGGCTCACCACAACCTCCGCCTCCCGGGTTCAAGCAATTCTCCTGCCTCAGCCTCCCGAGTAGCTGGGATTACAGGCATGCACCACCATGCCTAGCTAATTTTGTATTTTTAGTAGAGACGGGGTTTCTCCAGGTTGGTCAGGCTGGTCTCAAACTCCCGATTTCAGGGGATCCACCCACCTTGGCCTTCCAAAGGGCTGGGATTACAGGCATGAGCCACTGCACCTGGTCGAAATGGCCACTTTCTAAAAACCCCTTCTCATCCAGCTTTCGCTGTGGAAACTTCCCTGCTGAGGTACTCTCTGACTCCTCTGGGCTAACACGTATTCTACTTACACCTCTGTCGTAGCACTTGTCAAATTGCATAATGATTGGTTCTTGATTTGTTTTTGCTCTCCCTTCTAGAATCCACATTTTCCTTTGTAACACCCCTTTTCAAGTTATGAAGTATATGTTCTTCTTTTTATTACACATTGGATAGGTGGGCTGTAGACAAACCCATCTGTCTTCCAAAGTCCTACTCTGCCTAGGAACCCGTCAATGTGAGGATGATCATTTGGATCTTCTTAGATTTGTGTACTTTGGCTACAACTAAAACATTTGGGAGGTGCAGGAAAGAGCAGAAATGGCGTGACATGTACCATACGTCTAGATATTTCAAAGTTATGAATCAAGAGAATAAACTTTTCTAAAAATATAATTCTGCAATTTAAAACTTCTAATTTAAAAGTAAACTTTAATATTGAAAATGCAAACTTGGGGAGGGCAGAAAGATCACACACAGGGCTGCCACTTCACACTTGGAGGGTTGCACAGCAGCCGGGCAAAGGCTCTCCTCACTTCTCAGATGGTGCTGCGGCTGGCGGGAGGCGCGGGCCAGGGGGAGGGGCTTTTCACTTCCCCGATGGTGGGGCGATCAGGCAGAGGCGCTCCTCACTTCCCAGACAGTGGGGCGGCCAGGCAGAGGCGCTCCTCGCTTCCCAGACAGTGGGGCGGCCAGGCAGAGGCGCTCCTCGCTTCCCAGACAATGGAGCGGCCAGGCAGAGACACTCCTCACTTCCCAGACATTGTGGCGACCAAGGAGAGTCGCTCCTCACTTCCCAGACAGGTTGGCGACCGGGCAGAGGAGCTCCTCACTTTCCAGACAGCTGGGCTCCAGGCAGAGGCGCTCCACACTTCCCAGATGGTGGGGCGGCTGGGCAGAGGTGCTCCTCACTTGAGAATAAACTGTTAAATAAAATGTGTTTTATTATCCTAGCTTGATAAATATACCTTTATTATTTATTTATTATTTTTTTTTGAGATGGAGTGTCACTCTGTCACCCAGGCTGGAGTACAGTGGTGCCATCTCGGCTCTCTGCAACCTCCGCCTCCTGGGTTCAAGCGATTCTCCTGCCTCAGCCTCTCAAGTAGCTGGAACGACAGGCAGACACAACCATGCCCAGCTAATTTTTGTACTTTTAATGGAAACGGGGTTTCACAATGTTGGCCAGGCTGTTCTTGAAGTCCTGACTTCAGGTGGTCTGCCCACCTTGGCTTCCCAGAGTGATAGGATTACAGGTGTGAACCAACGCACCCAGCCAACAAATATACTTTTAGAATGACCTGGAAGAACAATTTCAAATGTAGATTCTTGAATTACTTGGAGTCCTGCCCTGAAATGTGGTGGCACAGGACACGATGACTTCCTTCCTCTGCTTCCTTTCCTGCTTCTGGCTCTGTCCAAGGGACCTCATATGCAAGCCTGTGGATACTCCAGAATGTGGTCCAACCTCTGTCCACATGTCCTGCCAACAGCTGCCCCGAGGCCACCTCTCAGGCCCAGAGATCTCATGGTGGCAATGAGGCCATCCCTGAGGGGATGGGCCACAAAAACTCTGGGGGCAGGGTCAGAGAGGGCCAATGTCCAGAGTATTCTGGTGTCCCAGCTACCTGGAGCATGATCTAGAAGGGAAGGGGTGCTGGATGGCCACGTCTCCTTGGCCCTGAGGACCGTGCCTGCAGTGAGGAGAGACACAGCTGGAGGAAGCACAGTTCTCTGACTTTAATGCACATGTGAATCACCTGGGATCTTATTAAGTAGGTATGGGGTAGGGCCTGATATTCTGCATTTCTCCCAAGCTTCCAGGTGCTGTTGATGCTGCTGGTACAAGGGCCACACTTTGAATAATTAAGGTCTAAAGCAAAGGCCCAAGGCAGGGGTCCTTTTTACCTTGGCAGAGCAATACCATTAGCAAAAAAGGATGTGTTTGATAATTTAATTACTCCCATGGATAAAGTACCAATAGAACTTAGTACGCACTTAAAGTTACACAAAAACAATATATGTGCAACACAAATTTGAATGTAACACCAATGCCTACATGGAGAATTCTTTAGCACAACCAGGTGAGTCTCACAGCCTTTGGCCCTATAAGTTATCATGTTCTTCCCCTTCTTGCACCCTCTGACCCCTTCCTGTATGTGGTTCACCCTGCATGACTCACTGAGCAGGTACTGACATTTCTAGTAGTCTTCTTTTTTCCTTCTGCAGATCCTTACAAACGCATTTCTTACTTTTTTTTTTTTTGAGACGAAGTCTCACTCTGTTGCCTCAGCTGGCGTGCAGTGGCATGATCTCAGCTCACTGGAACCTCCACCTCCCATGTTCAAGCAATTCTCCATCCTCAGCCTCCAGAGTAGCTGGGATTATAGGTGTGCGCCACCATGCCCAGCTAATTTTTGCATTTTTCGTAGAGACAGAGTTCCACCATGTTGGCCAGGCTGGTCTCGAACTCCTGACCTCAGATGATCTGCCCGACTCGGCCTCCCAAAGTGCTGGGCCTATAGGTGTGAGTCACTGCGCCCGGCCGCATTTCTTATACTTATTCATCATTTACTATGCTCTTTTCTCTCATATGCTTCACCGTACTCACAGCACGTTAGTCCCGGCACTTTCCGCAACAGACTTGTTACTTTTCCAGGCCCTTTTGCCCTCAGCCCTGAAGCCCACTGGGCCCGGCTGGTGCTGGTGCTGCTTCTCTGGCAGCTGCTGCCTCCTGTCTCTGAGCTCCCTGATACTGGAAAGAACCCTCCCAAGGCTTCCTTCTGGCATGTGGAGGCATCTTCAGCCAATTCCATGTGGCAAGTGAATCTATTTATACCTTTTGGAAACCTCATCATTTGGGCAGGAAGTGACCAACTTCCTGGCAAAGAACTCCCAAGAACATCTTCCCAAAGGGAAAAGAGAGAAAACATATCTCTGACGTACATGTATGGTTTCCTCACTTTTAACTGGTCCTGCCCCAGCCCAGCGGTGCGCCTCCAGGCTGAAGAGCCTCTGCTAGGGACAGAAGCCCACCCTGGCTCAAGGACTTAGATGCAGCAGGTGTTTAGTCAGCCTTGATTGAATTGAGTTGAATTTCTTGTGGCTGGAAAACTGTTTCCTATTTATTTTCTTCTCCTGCCAATCCTTTCACAGGGCACTGTCAAATATTGGCCAATGCGGCTGGGTGCAGTGGCTCACACCTGTAATTCCAACACTTTGGAAGGCCGAGATGGGCAGATCACAAGGTCAGGAGATCGAGACCATCCTGGCTAACACGGTTAAACCCTGTCTCTACTAAAAATACTAAAGATCACCTTTTGAGGGCCGGGAGCAGTGGCTCACGCCTGTAATCTTAGCACTTTGGGAGGCTGAGGCGGGTAGATCATCTGAGGTCAGGAGTTTGAGACCAGCCTGGCCAACACGGTGAAACCCCGTCTCCCCATCTCTACTAAAAATACAAAAATTAGCTGGGCATGGTGGCAGGCCACCTGTAATCCCAGCTACCTGGGAGGTTGAAGCAGGAGAATCACTTGAACCCGGGAGGCGGAGGTTGCAGTGAGCTGAGATTGTGCCACTGCACTCCAGCCTGGGTGACAAGAGTGGGACTTCATCTCAAAAAAAAAAAATCACTTTTTGCTACAACTGAGGATTCAGTGTATGTCAGAATACTCACTGCTGACTCAAGGGGTTCACATTATGGGTACAGAGAGCGACGTAAACTTTCTTCTAGATAGAGGAGGAAATAATATGACATGGAGCCAGCACCCACCACCCCCACCCTAAACAAATCAACAAAAAAACTCCTGTGTTGACTGGAACACATGAGAACTTTGTCTCTAGAGTATGTAAGAGATGGCTTTAGGGGTCTATAAACAGGCCGTTTCTAGATGGTGATGTATTATAGAAGGACCGAAAACTGGTGCTGCCTCTATGAGTGCTGTAAATGCTGTGAGAACTTAATATTTTGGCAATGACTGCAGGTGAAATTACTGCTTACTTTGGTATCATTTTCAGTTTTACAATACATATTTTTTCAAATCTGCTACACCAAATTCTAATAGTCAAAGATGTGCCTCCAACACGAAAAGAAAAAAAAAAGATTAAGAACCACCACACTACTACCTTACAGGACTCAGCAGGACTAGCCCCAGGGACGAAACTGAAACAGGAGAGTTGGTCTCCAGAGAATACTTCCTTCTTCCTGCTACGACCTTCTTGCCTACTGTTGCTGGCTTCATCTCAACAATGCAGAAAGCTTACTGTTCAACCATTCTTTCTCCCAGGGTTAACGGTTTCAAGGTACAGTCCTGCTAATGTTAATGTGATTGGCCCTCCCTCACATTTAATGTTAATGTGATTGGCCCTCCCTCACATTTAATGTTAATGTGATTGGCCCTCCCTCACATTCACTGTACATTTTCATGATGGTTCTCTGGTGCTTGTTGGGGTAGACACTGACAGGTGAGGAAACCTTTGTGTGGGAAGCACTTCTGCACAGTTAAGGCCTCGGGACCCTCCTATTTTATCCTGGCGGGCTGGCTTTTTTCTCTATGCAAGTGGTGCTCACTACTGCTATTGGTCTGATGGACTGACCCGTTGACTGAATTTCTGGGTGACAAACGAAGGTCCAAGGTTGATTTTTTATTTTATTTTGAGACAGAGTCTCACTCTGTCACCCAGACTAGAGTAGCACAATCTCGGTTCACTGCAACCTCTGCCTCCTGGGCCCAAGCAATCCTCCTACCTCAGCCTTTCCAGTAGCTGGGACCACAGGTGTGTGCCACCATGCCTTCATTTTTTTTTTTTTTTTTAAATAAAGGCAAGGTCTCACTATGTTGCTGAGGCTGGTCTCAAACTCCTGGGCTCAAGCGATCCTCTTGCCTCAGCCTCCTAAAGTGCTGAGATTACAGGTGTGAGACACTGTGCCTGGCCAGTTTTCTTTATATTTACTCTGCTTGGAGATTATTGAGCTTCTTGTATGCGTGAGTTTATGGTTTTCATCAATTTGGGGAAATTTTCAGCCATTATTTTTTCAAAAAAAATTTCTTATTCCCCTCTTCTGGGACTTAAATTCCATGTTAAACTGCTTAATATTGTCTCTCAGGTAACTGAAGCTCACTCTCTTTACCTCTCTCTCTTTATTTTTTGTTTCTTTAGTTGTTTTTCTCTAGACAGTTTCTATTGCTATGTTTTCAATTTATTGATCTTTTCTTTTGCATCGTCCAATTTGTTCTTAATCCCATGCAGTATACTTTCCATTTCAAATGTATTTTTCATCTCTAGGAGTTTCGTTTGGATCTTTTTTGTATCTTCAGTTTATCCTTTCATTGTGTTCATGTTTTCTATCTATTTTTATTTTCTTTTTTGAGACAGAGTCTCTATCGCTCAGGCTGGAGTGCAGTGGTGGTGTCTCAGCTCACTGCAACCTCCGCCTCCGGGGTTCAAGCAATTCTCATGCCTCGGCCTTCCAAGTAGCTGGGATTACAGGTGCATGCCACCACGCCCAGCTAATTTTTGTATTTTTAATAGAGTCGGGACTTCACTGTATTGGCCAGTCTGGTCCCGAACTCCTGGCTTCAAGTGATCCACCCGCCTCTGCCTCCTGACCTCAAGTGATCCACCCGCCTCTGCCTCCTGACCTCAAGTGATCCACCCGCCTCTGCCTCCCGACCTCAAGTGATCCACCCGCCTCTGCCTCCTGACCTCAAGTGATCCACCCGCCTCTGCCTCCCAAAGTGCTGGGATTACAGTCGTGAGCCACCACACCTGGCTCAGGTTTTCTATCTTCCTCAGCATGTGAAGCATGCTTATAGTAGTTGTTTTTAAGGTTCTTATCTGCTAATTTCATCATCTCTGCCACTTCTGGGTCTGTTTTTACTGACTGACTTTTCTCCTAGTTATGGGTACTATTTTCCTATTGTGATGCATGCTTGGCAAGCTTCGACTGGTCGCTGGATATTGTGAATTTTACCTTGTTGGATACTAGATTTTGTTGTAATCCTTTAAATAATGCTCTACTTTGTTCAGTTAAGTTACTTAGATTTAATCTGATCCCTTCAAGGCTTGCTTTTAAGCTTTGTTAGGGTGGGTCCAGAGCAACAGGTAGTCTAGGGCTTATTTAGCCCCACCACCATGACCATACCCTTCTGTGGACTCTACTTAATGCTCTGTGTGTGATGAGGTCTTTCCACTCTGCCTAATGGGAACTGAATTCCGTGACCTTCAGGAATTTGGGGTGTTCTTGCTTTCTTTCTTTCTTTCTTTTTTTTTTCTGAGACGGAGTCACTGTCGCCCAGGCTGGAGTCAGTGGCGCGATCTCGGCGCACTACAACCTCCGCCTCCCAGGTTCAAGCGATTCTCCTGCCTCAGCCTCCTGAGTAGCTGGGACTACAGGCGCATGGCAACACGCCTGGCTAATTTTTGTATTTTTAGTAGAGACGAGGTTTCACCATATCGGCCAGGCTTGTCTCAAACTCCTGATCTCGTGATCTGCCCACTTCGCCTCCCAAAGTGCTGGGATTACAGGTGTGAGCCACCGCGCCCGGCCCGATGTCCTTGCTTTCTATTGCATGTATGTTTGTTTTACGCAGTTTCATGTTGTTTTCTCTCCTACATGCACAGATCAGTACCCAGTCAAATTATCAACCTGCAGATCTCTGGAGCTCTCTTGCAGGGCAGGTTCCTCCTCCCTGATATGTTGCCTCTCAAATTCTCGCCATCTCAGCATTCCTAAACTTCAGTCTCTCAACTCAGTGAGAGCACGAGGCTGTGCTTGGGTTCCTCTTCCCCACACTGCAGCCAGGAAACTGCCTGTAGCCAGTTAAACTGAAGCAATCATAGGACTGACCTTGGTTTTCCCCTCCCTTCTTTCAGGGACACAATCCTGTGCTAACTAACCAAATCCTGAAACTGTTGTGTCGTATAGTTTGTTCAGATTTTTAGTAGTTTCAGGTAAGAAAGTGAATCCCTGGCTGGGTGCTGTGGTTCACGCCTGTAATCCCAATACTTTGGGAGGCCAAGGCGGGTGGATCACCTGAGGTCAGGAGTTTGAGACCAGCCTGGCCAACATGGTGAAACCTCGTCTCTACTAAAAATACAAAAAATTAGCTGGGCGTGGTGGTGAGCACCTGTAATCCCAGTTACTAGGGAGGCTGAGGCGGGAGAATTGCTTGAACCTAGGAGGCAGAGGTTGCAGTGAGCCGAGATGGAGCCATCGTACTCCAGCCTGGGCAACAAGAGAGAAACTTCATCCATCTCAAAAAAAAAAAAAAAAAGTAAATCCCTGGAGTCTATTATTTCATCGTGGCGAGGAACAGAAGTTCTCTCAACACAGATCTAATTATGTAACACATGACATTTTACATCATGATCTTTTCACTTAAGTGTAGATTTTGGTTATTTTTCCATTGTATTACACAGTTGTAGTAGACATTATTTTAAACTATGTACTCATTCATTATCTTATTAAACAACTATCTACTGAGTGTCTTCTATGCTCCAGGCACTGGATAAAGCAGTAAAACAACAACAAGGACAAACCCAAATAAAAACAAAACAAAACAAAACAAAAACCCAGGTAAGCTCACACTGTCATGGAGCTTTTACTCTAGTAGCAGGAAGATGGGAAAAAGGTAAGTAAACAGATAAATGAGCAAACCTTACAGCGATAAGTGCTATAAGATAGGGTGAGTGGGCCGGGCGTGGTGGCCCACGCCTATCATCCCAGCACTTTGGGAGGCTGAGGCAGGTGGATCACGAGGCCAGGAGTTCGAGATCAGCCTGACCAACATGGTGAAACCCTGTCTCTACTAAAAATACAAAAATTAGCCGAGCGTAGTGGTGCACCCCTGTAATCCCAGCTAAGCCCCAGGCTGGGGCAGGAGAATTGCTTGAACCCGGGAGCTGGAGGTTACAGTGAGCCAAGATCGTGCCATTGCACTCCAGCCTGGGCAACAGAGCAAGATTCGGACAAAAAAAAAAAAAGATAGGGCGAGTGTTAGAGGGTGACTAGGACAGTTATTTAAGATGAGTGTTAAAGCCGTAGAAACCTTTCAGGTTTCTTCTAGAGCACTCCTCCTCAAAGTCACCTGCACAATGATCCCTGCATTAGACTCTGCCTCTAGAGAACCTGACCTCAGACAGAATATGCACCTTCTGAAGATTCCTGATTTACTACATCCTTATTGCTTAAGAATTCTATTTTTAGAAATACTATGTCCACTGGAGACAATTTGAAACTTAATCACAATGAAAAGTAGGAAGCAGTTGAAGGTGTGGGAGGTGGCAGATGGGTAATTGAAGGATAATTAAAGATCCTGAGGTAAAGAACTAACTGCAGCTTGATACGGTCTGAATGTTTGTGTCCCCCAGAACATTCATATGGTGAAACCTAATCCCCAGTGTGATAGTATTAGGAGGTGGGGTCTTTGGGAGATTATTAGGTCATGATGGTAGCGACCTCACTGATGGGATTAGTGCCCTTAGAAGAGAGACCCTGAGAGATCCCTTGGCCCTCTGCCATGTAAGCATGGCCATCTATGAACCAGGAAGCAGGCCCTCACCAGACACTGATTCTCCCACATGTCGTGATCTTGGACTTCCCAGAAGGGTGAGAAATAAATTTCTGTTATTTATAAGCCACTCGGACTATGACAGTTCGTTATAACAGCCCAATAGACTAAGACATAGCTGATGGCTACATGTAGAATTAGAGTTCTTTTGGGTTTGAATGGGTTAGGAACAGAAGTCTGTGAAGACTTTTGGAATAACCATACCTAACCTTAAACCAGAGTAGGCCATTTGGAATCATCCAGGTGAACATGTTGCTCCTTTTCCTCAGCAACTATTAGAGCCTGCAGGTTACCTCTCTGGTCCCAGAACAAATATCCCATTTTCCTCTAAAGGAGTCTGCCATTTGATCCAGAGGCCCGGTGGTTTAAGATCTAAGGACAAAAAAAAAAAAAAAAAAAAAAAAAAACAGAAACAGGAAAGCCAAGGGTGTGAGCAATGGTGAAAAGAAAGAAGGGGGCAAACTGAGAGACAAGAAGGAGGCTACAGACTAGAGAAGGAAAACTTAGGGTATCTTGAAACTTCAGTCGCAATTCTTTCTTTCTTCTCTGTGGGAGAAGAAGATAGTCAAGCGGGAAAGTTGAAGTTCAGCAGTGGCAAACGCCCCACCACTACCCTTCCCCACTCCCTGCCTCCCCCATCTCCCCACCTTCTACCCACTTTTTGAAGAGAGGATCTTAGATAAGGGAGCCTGGGCAGAGTGTTTGGAAGTGCTCTCTTATTGAGAGTCTGGGCAGATTCCAACCTGGCATTCAAGGTAGATGGCAATTCCACTGCCAAGCATTTCTGAAGAGGCCAATATCTGAAGAGGCTGTGATCTAGAATCATTAACAAATTCAACCAAATGTTAAGAAAATGAGAAAGGACTCCATGCAGGTAGGCAGTCAGTCTTCCTCTGGGTTCTTGTGCTATCTTTATCTTCGTCAGAATCAGAATAGAAATGATTAAGTACACACCTGAATATACCCCTTAGGTGCTGAGAACATACAGTCCTTCAAACGCTGCCTTCACCTTAGGGAGGGCGTGCCCTTTGAGTTCCATTTTCAGGACTGTGATTGGGTTTTATAGGGCCAGTCACAGGTTATGGTAATAACTAACAATTGAACAGGACATTAGAGCTTCCAAAATACTTTCACAAATATTATTTAGCTGCCACTATCTTAGTCCATTTGTGCTGATATAACAAAATACCAGAGGCTGGTTAGCTTATAAATAGCAGAAATGTATTTCTCACTGTTCTGAAGTCTGAGAAGTCCAAGATCAAGACACTGGCAGACTCAGTGTCTGGTGACTGCTTTCTGGTTCATAAATGGCACTTTCTACTTGTACCCTCACATGGTGGTTGGGATGAACAAGCTCCCTTGGACCTATTGTGTAAGGGCACTGATTGTATTCATAAGGGTGCTGTTCTCATGACCCAATCACCTCCCCAAACGTTCTACCTCCTAATATCATCACCTTAGGGGTTAGAATTTCAACATAGGAATTTTGCGGGGACATAAACATTCAGATCATAGCAACCACTCATCTGTATGGTAGCTACTCTTACTGTTGTTGTTGTTTACGTTTTTTCAGACGGGTGCAGTAAGGGTCAGAGCAATTCAGAAATTTGCCCAAGATCCCATAGCCAACAAGAGGCAATCCTTTTCTTCTGGTCTAAAATCTATATATTTCACACTGTCGCTGTCCCATTCTCTGCTCACTGGAGTCTTCTTGTGTCCTGATACCCAGAGAAAGGAGTTCTAAGATCCTAGCGAGGGCAACAGGGAGCTGGCCATCCATGGGCTCCCAAAAACCTACACTATCTCTCAAGGGGGACTTCCCATACTTGTTGGAAAAGGAACATTAAATTCCACCCTTTTTTTACTTTAAGGACCACTCTCAACTTTCTGGACACAGAAGGCACTTCATTGTCCGCCTGATTTGCCCTCTCTCATTCTCAGGATGGAAGACCTCTCTAGCCAATGGGAAGATGGCAAGATGTGTGAATGTACCCCTGGGAGCAAAATCACAGAGCCTGTGTAATCCTCTATACATGTAGGGACTGAGTGTGGGTATCTCTGGCCAGTGTGGATGTTGACCACGTTGTTTCGTAACCCTGCCTCACTTGCTCCTCTCTCCCCAACCTCCAGAACTGCCTATCTAACTCATCTGTGGTGATGGAATGCTATTTCTTTCACATTACCCTGATTAAGTATCATTAGAAAGGTAACTGCTGTGCTTAAAACAAATAAATCACCTAACACATTCCAGAGATAAATTCAAATTATTTTTAGATAATCCATCCTTTTGGATTATCCAAATGACCACTGCTTCCCCTAGCAGGAATAATTGAGAACTGAGACAAAAAGAAACTTAACCAAAATTTAAGCCAACCTGCAGACCAGCTATAAGGCTTACTGTGGAAGAAAATATATAGTGATGGCATTTGGGAGTATGTGTCATCCCTAGGAACATGGTGGTGGTAATTTCAGCATTTGCAAAGCTCTGACTCATAGCAAAGCATGCTGTGCTATGGGGATAGACCCAGCTCTGGATTGGACAGTTTCTGAGGCACAGTCACCCAACAGGCCCAGGAAGCTTATTAATCCTCATCAGGGTGTGATTACGGTTCCCAACCCAAGCCAGCAGTGAACACAAATGCCGTGCTGAGATTCCCAGGCTGGAACATGTGGGGGCAAGACTTGCCCAGGAAGGGATATAGAAGAGTCTTTACACTACACTATCCTATACTACAGTTCCTCCTCTCATGCTCACAGAATAGAGACAGCTTAGTCTAGGGTAGAGAGGGCACCAGGCTGGGGTGGTGGCATGGGGGACAGGGATCAGAGGCAGGATGGGTGGCTTGACCTCAGCCTTAGAGTAGTCATGCCTGCCATTCCTCAGCACCACCAAAGTGGGGCAAAGCAGCTATGCCTGTACCTGCAGGACTGTTGGCAAAACAAAGAGGACCTTTGAGGGTGCTTGGAGCTAGAAAATTCTGCTCCCCTTGTCAACAACACTGAACCCTGATTTTGGAGATCCTTGCGTCAGTTGTGGAGGCAATGAGGCAGAAGTACAAGGGAAAGCTCCTACCCGCTGGGAACTGCTGCTGTAATGTGAGGGGAGTTCTGGGTCAAATGCCAAAGCCCCTAGAGGTGTTTGGGAACAGGCTGTGGAGCTGCTCCATGAACTAAAGGGCTCTTAAGTTCTTTCCATTCCTAACATTCTGTGATTCTAATTTAATGGGAGACTGGAAAAACATATGTCGAAAATACACAAATGCTAAGCAGCAAGAAATGTAGTGACAGAGTGAAGCCTTGACTTCCTGCCTTGAGCATGATCTGTATAGGTTGTGGTGCTCAGCCAGGGCCCAGACCACCAATAGTAGAGCTGAAGACAGGAAGACAGTGAGGCTGGACATGGGATGAAGGGCGTGAGTATGAGAAAAGACAGTGAGTCTAGTTGAAAGTTCAGAGAGCTGTTGTAAAAGAGATTGGAAAGAGGAAACTCCAAAAAATGACTTCTTTTTTTTTTTTTTAACTCAGAGTCTGGAAATCTCTTTTCTCCTGGAGAAGAGAAACTTGGCTGTTGTTTCATTTGAGATATTAAGTTCTTCTCGTGTAAGATGATTCCACTCTTCCCCCGAAAAGGGTTTTTGGTGAGAGGGAGGTGGGTGCAGAGGATTCGGGGCTTCTTTGGGCCTTGTCTGCAGTGACTGAGGCATCTCAGGACCCTGCCTCCTGTGGATCAAAAACCTGAGATGGGTTCCTCTCCTGCAAACACCTAAGCAATTGTCATGTGGATGGACTGAAGATACTTTTGTGACTGCTCAGTAAATGTCTCAAGGGAAGATCATTTGGAGGGTAAGCTAGGAAAGGGGAGAGGTAACTAGAGTGTTCTAAAGCTAAGCAGATTCCAGCAAGCAGGAAGGTTTTCTAGAAAGGGGGAGTTCAAATCTGCTTGACTGATGAAGGTGAGCTGTCTTCTGTCTGACGCATGACCTGCAAATGCATCTCTGTGTGTACTAACCTGATCTGCTCTGGTGGTACGGCTCTTAAACATCCAAGTTGGTCAAATCTCCTTTGATGGATTAGAGCAAGCCAAGGATGTTTATTGAGCACCTCCTGCCTGAGGAGGCTTTGTAGTACCTTGGAAAGTGCCTGAGTTCTGTGGCCAAAAGGATCCAGTACAAGTCCTGCCCGGGCCACTTACTAGTCACATCTCCTTGAGTAAGTTGCTTGATCTCTCTGATCCTGCAGGGTCCTTAGTTATAAAATGGGGACGGTCACTCACTTCACAGGGTTGGGTTGAGAATGAAATCTGACTAAGGCCCAGAGGTAGTGCCTTGGGCCTGTCTGTTGTGTTTCTTCTTGGCATTCATGATAAGAGCTGAGAAATGAAATTTCAAAAGGAGAAATAGTAGCTAAGAGCACATGAATAAAACTTCCAGTAGATAGACAGATTTTCATTTTTCTTTTCACATTTCAGTATTATTTGTGACTATTCTTGTATGAGAATATTTCTGTCAGGGCTTAAATGTGTCAAACAAGAAAGAATCGGAGGAACCAGAAGTCTGGGTTTCTGCTCCAGCTGCTATTAACTGAGAGAGACCTTGGGCAAAACCTTTGATCTTATTGAGCCTTGATGATCTCATCTGTAAAATGGGAAGACTGGGGCCTCTCTCAAAGGGTTGTGGTTAGGATCAAATAAAATCATAAATGTAAAATCCCTTGATGAACTAGGGGGAATGTGACACAAATGGAAGCTAGTTTTTGCATGTCAGATGTTCATCGATCATCTGCTTGAAGCATACATATTAACTGGGTTGATTTCCTAGGCAGTCTTATCCATATTTTGGCAGACATGTGCACCTGCTTTTTCTTTTCTTTTCTTTTTTTTTTGAGACAGAGTCTCACTCTGTCACCCAGGCTAGAGTGCAGTGGTGTGATTTTGGCTCACTGCAACATCCACCTCCCGGGTTCAAGCAATTCTCCCACCTCAGCCTCCCAAGTAGCTGGGACTACAAGCGTGCACCACCACACTCAGCTAATTTTTGTATTTTTAGTAGAGACAAGGTTTCACCATGTTGGTCAGGCTGGTCTTGAACTCTTGACCTCAGGTGATCCGCCCACCTCGGCCTCCCAAAGTGCTGGGATTATAGGCGGGAACCTCTGTGCCTAGCCCGCCTGCTTTTTCTTTCATCATTCAATCCTTATCTCAGTCTCATCCCTCCACCAGGTTAAAGGGACTGAGACACTGTTAACCTTATTGTGCCTGGGGCAGGCCAGATGTTCCTGAATGGTCACTAAGGACTCAGGACCATGAGGATGATCACCACTTGATGGTGAAAAGGGCTTTTTCTGCTTGCCTGGCAAACCCTCTCAGGGCTCGTGATGCTATAGCCAGCACTCCTTTGCTGTTCCCTGCCTTTTCTTCATCAAGCATTATTTTAGGATAACCAAGGAAAGAAAAGATTCATGGGATATAGGTAATAGGATGTGACCACTGTGTCCTCCAAGTTGCTCCACCCACAAACTTTGCATGAAACACTTGAATACAACAAAAAAGAAATGGTAGTGTCATTCTCCAATTCTCTCTTATGCACCTCCCTGTCAAAAACTGCAGAGATTGTAGAGAAGAAGGCTATAGCCATACAGCATGAAAACAAAAGAGGGGTGCAATTCCCAATCATTCTGCATTAATGTGAGTTTACTGTCACTTCTTTGTCTTGCTTTGAGCAAAGTTTATGCTTTGAGCATAAACTACCTTGTCCTATCAATTTATTTGCATTAAAAATTAAAACCTTTTCTGGCCAGGCACCGTGGCTCATGCCTATAATCACAGCAGTTTAGGAGGCCGAGGCGGGCAGATCACCTGAGGTCAGCAGTTCAAGACCAGCCTGGCCAACATGGTGAAACCCTGTCTCTACTAAAAATACTAAAATTGCCAGGCCATGGGGGTGGGCGCCTGTAATCCCAGCTACTTGGGAGGCTGAAGCAGGAGAATCATTTGAATGCAAGAAGTGGAGGTTGCAGTAAGCTGAGATTGGGCCACTGCTCCCCAGTCTGGGCGATAGAGCAGATTCCATTTCAAAAACAAAACAAAACAAAAACGTTTTCTAAAGATAAAATTATACATACTTGTAGGAAATTTAGAAAATAAAGAAAATGATAAGGAAGAAAAAAAGAACTGCTTATAATTCCACCACTGATAATATCTAGGGGTTTGCAGTCATAAAATGTAGATAATCTGTCCATAGTTTTTTATATTTTTTCACTCAGTTTTATGACATGAAAAATTTCCCATAATGCTAAAATTATCAGAAAAACATAGATTTTAATGGCTGCATAATATCCATTATACTGGTGAATCATAAGTTATTTACCGATTCTCTATTGTTCAACATTTTGACTGTTTTTATTTTGTTCTCCATTAAGAATAATACTGCTGGCCAGGTGCGGTGTCTCATGCCTGTAATCCCAGCACTTTGGGAGGCCGAAGTGGGCAGATCACGAGGTCAGGAGATCGAGACCATCCTGGCTAACACGGAGAAACCCCGTCTCTACTAAAAATGCAAAAAAAAAAAAAAAAAAAAAAAGCCAGGCGTGGTGGCGGGTGCCTGTAGTCCCAGCTACTTGGGAGGCTGAGGCAGGAGAATGGCATGAACCCAGGAGGTGGAGCTTGCAGTGAGCCGAGATTGTGCCACTGCACTCTAGCCAGGGAGACACGGCGAGACTCTGTCTCAAAAAAAAAAAAAAAAAAAAAAGAATAACACTGCTATTAATATTCTTGTACGTAAGTGTCCATGTCTCTGATTATTTCCTTAATATAAATTACTAGAATAGAACTACTGGGTCAGAGTCAGAACATTTCTGAAAGTCTTGATATAAGATATATAATTTGCCTTTAAGGAAATATGCACCAATTTACCCTCCCACTAATAGTGTATAATAGTAATATTTCAGCACCCCCAGCTAAGAAGGCTGCATATTATCTTTATTTTAATATTTTCTATTTTAATGAGTGAAACTGATTTGCTTTGTTTTTATGTGGCCACCCTGCCCTGTCACTCCAGCTGTGGTACTCGTTCTTTGTTACCTGTTTGTTAAGTGTGTATGCCCTGTCTACTTCCAAACAGAATCTGAAGTGGTCCTGACTAAATCATAAGCCCTTAAAGCCAGCAATTTCCCCTCTTTTTAGTTTAAGGTTTCTGTGACTGGCACAGAGGGTTTCACATATTCAATATTTGATATGTTTGGCGGTTATTTTTGAACTCTATAGAAATATCCACTAACAGAATATTCTCTCTTTCGTGGATGCATATGGCTCTATTATGTCCCCATCTCTCAACTCTCATCGTCCTTACAGGTATATTATGTACACTGAATGTTTCATTTTATATCTGTATAATTATGCAGTAGTTTGTTAGGAGGAAACAACAAACAACAACCCAAAAAACCCTGCATCCCTAGCTGGATTATCAGTTACTTGAGGTCAGGGAATATGTTATTTATTTCTCTTAGAAAACACGAGCACAGTGTTGAGCACATGCAAACACTGTGTGTGTGTATTCTTTGATTTTTTTTGAGACAGAGTCTCACTCTGCCGCCCAGGCTGGAGTGCAATGGCACAATCTTGGCTCACTGCAACCTCTGCCCCCCGGGGTTCAAGCAATTCTCCTGCCTCAGCCTCCCGAGTACCTGGGATTACAGGCGTGCACCACCACACCAAGCTAATTTTTTGCATTTTTAGTAGAGATGGGGTTTCACCATGTTGGCCACGCTGGTTTTGAACTCCTGACCTCAAGTGATCCGCCTGCCTCAGCCTCCCAAAGTTCTGGGATTACAGGCGTGAGCCACCGCACCCGCCCTGATGTTTGTTAAGGCATGACTTATCAGTAAAAGCTTTCCCACATTTATTGCACTCATAAGGTTTCTCTCCTATATGGGTTCTCTGGCAAACACTTTTTTTTTTTTATTAAACATGATTGAGGCCAGGCGTGGTGGCTGACGCCTGTAATCCCAGCACTTTGGGAGGCTGAAGTGGGTGGATTACGAGGTTAGGAGATCCAGACCATCCTGGCTAACACAGTGAAACCCCGTCTCTACAAAAAATTAGCCAGGTGTGGCGGCGGGCGCCTGTAGTCCCAGCTACTCAGGAGGCTGAGGCAGGAGAATGGCGTGAACCCGGGAGGCGGAGCTTGCAGTGAGGCGAGATCGCGCCACTGTACTCCAGCCTGGGCGACAGAGCGAGACTCTGTCTCAAACAAAACAAAACAAAAAACAAACAGCAACAATAACAAAAAACATGATTGAGTGTTTGTTACGTGTCAAACACTGCACTCAGTGCTGAGGAAACTAGTGCACAGTCTGATAGAAGGGGTGGCATTTGGGGGCACAAGGAATGTGATGGGAACTTTAGGAGAGACCTGAAGCCCCAACTGGAGGAATCAAGGAGGACTTCCTGAATTAGGCAGTGACTCAAAAGAGTTAGCCAATAAATAATGCAGCTGAGAGATTGAGTGTTTCGGGAAGACAGAATAGCATACGCAAAGTTACAGTAGACAAAAAATGTATTACTGGCTGGAGGAATTTATTACTGGCTCAACATATTCAGAACAGAGAAAATTGCAGGAGATAAGGCTGGAGAGGTGAGCAAGGTCCATTATGTTCACAGTGAGAATGGAAGCTGCTGGTTTTGGCCTTCATCAGTGTGTATAGTGGTGATCCCATTAGCGTCAATACCCAGCTCTCACAAACTCTTGAGTCTCACTGGCTTAACTAAAAGAAGTCAAGATCCATGCAGGAAATCAAAGTTATTTTCAGAGTCTTTTCTACCAAATACTTAGGGGACTCTTTGTGGAGTACTTTTATGTTTTCATGAACCCACCTAGATTACCACTTGCTACCATGTCTAGCCAGGCTGCAATTCTGCAGTTCCAAGTCTTAATGATTTAACAGGGTACCAACACAAGGTTGGAACATTTTTCCTGTTATTGGCATGAATACCTAGACAATTAGGTTCATAATGTTGAAACTGGAGCATCGCTCCTGCATCTGAAGACCAGACTTTATTGCCACTGCTCTAGTCAAGTGTGAAGGAAAATGCTCTGATTGGCTACAGGTCAATTAAGGGTTCCATGGCAAGCCTGCTTGGCTCCAAAGTAACAGCTCTTTAAACCTCCACACAAGCCCCTGCAATGGTTGGAATGTTTGTGTCTCTCCAAAATCCATGTTGAAACTTAATCCTCAATGCAAGAGTATTAAGAGGTGGGGCCTTTCGGGAAGTGATTGAGTTATGAGGGCTCTGCCCTTGCGAATGACACTAATGTCCTTATAAAAGAGGCTTCAGGCTGGGCGAGGCGGCTCACGCCTGTAATCCTAGCACTTTGGGAGGCCAAGGCAGGTGGATCACCTGAGGTCAGGAGTTTGAGACCAGCCTGGCCAACATGGTGAAACCCCGTCACCACTAAAGTTACAAAAATTAGCCGGGCGTGTTGGTGGGCGCCTGTAATCCCAGCTACTTGAGAGGCTGAGGCACAAAAATCGCTTGAACCTGTGAGACAGAGGTTGCAGTGAACCAAGATCGTGCCATTGCACTCCAGCCTGGGTGACAGAGTGAGACAGTGTTAAAAATAAATAAATAAATACATACATACATACACAAAAGAGGCTTCAGAGAGCTACCTGGCCCTGTTTGCCTTTCCATCATGTGAGAACATAGCATTTGTACGTTCTGCTTTGTGAACACACAGCAAGAAGGTGACATCTTGGAAGCAAAGAGCAAGCTCTCTAAATCTGCTGGCATCTTGCCCTTGGACTTCCTAGCCTCTAGACTGGAAGAAATAAATGTCTATTGTTTATAAATTACCCAGTTTTATAAATTACCCAGTCTGTGGTAAATTACCCAGTCTGTAAGAAATAAATGTCTATTGTTTATAAAGTATATTGTTTATAAATTACCCAGTCTGTGGTATTTTTTATAACAGCAGCCCAAACACACTAAGACACCCATTTTCTCTCAGGACCCACACAGGCTGCCAAAGCATCTAGGTGAGACAAGTTCCAGTATTGGCTTCCACAGCGAACCCAGAATGACACTGCTCTTGGACATTCTGGCTCAAATGCTGGGTTGGATCCAAGGGGCCAGATCCCTTCTGCTCTGTGATGGCCTACTTTTCAGCACCCCCCACACCACCACCACTTTAATCATGCCTCCCTCAGGGCCACCCCAGTCCATCAGATGACTGAAGTCCAACCAAAACAAGGTTCAGACCTTTTCCTCATAGACCATACTGTTTAATCTCTGTGTAAATCGATGTATGTAAATGGACACATGGGGAGAAAGGAGTTGCCTAACTGTCCCTATCAAAGGCATCTGAACACCATCTCCTGCCCAGACAACATACTTCATTTTGTTAAAAAACCTGGACTTTATTCTGTAGGCAAAGAACAGCCAATAAAGTTTTTATGTAGTATGCTAGAATGCTAATTATACTGTATTAATTGATGATTAATATTCATAATACACAAAAACTCTCAGAAATTGATTAGAAAAGACAAAACTAGTAGAAATAGATGACTTGAATGAAATGTAATTCATAGAAGAGAAATTCTAAGTGTCCAATATTTATTTATTTATTTGAGACTAGGTCTCCCTCTGTTGCCCAGACTGGAGTGCAGTGGCACGATCATGGCTCACTGCAGCCTCACTTCCCTGGGCTTCAGTGATCCTCCCACCTCAGCCTCCCAAGTAGTTGGGACCACAGGCGTGGGCCACCATGCCCAGCTAATTTTTGTACTTTTGGTAGAGATGGGGTTTCGTCATGTTGCCCAGACTGGTCTTGAACTCCTGAGCTCAAGCGATCCACCCTCCCTGGCCTCCCAAAGTGTGAGGATTACAGGCATAAGCTACCATGCCTGGCCAATAAGTAGATTTAAAAGATGCTCAATATGACTATCAATCAGGGAAATGAAAATTAAGGTAATAACGTAATATCACTTTATACCCTTCAGATTGGTAAAAATTAAGAGGGAAAACATCTACTATTGGTAAGAATGAGAAGGAAATAGGTACTCATATATTGCTGGGTGCAGTATGAGTTGCTACAAACCTTTTGGCAATCAGGCAAAGACTATACAATTTTAATACATTTGCCCTTCAACCTAGCAATCCCACTGCTGGGAATCTACTCTATAGAAATAAAAGCACCAATACAAAAAAAATGCATGTACAGAGGTGCTTATTGCTGCATTGTTTGTAGTTGGCGAAACACTGAAAACCAAGTGAAGCCCATCATTAGAGGAATGAATGAATAAATTACAGTGTGCTTATACATGGGGAATTGTGTAGCCATTTAAATATATGTTAGATCTATATTAATGGACTTGGAGAGATTTCGATGAAATGTGATTAAGTGGGGGAAAGCTGTATGCAAAGGTATAGATGTACTCTGAACCAATTTTCGGAAAATGATGACATCTACCAATAGCAAAACAAAAACCCTAAAACCGTTTGTGTGTGTGTTTAGGTACAGCCTGCTAGCTGCCTACCTAAATCTATTATTTCTTTCTTCCTTACTAAGAGAACCTCCATCATTAGGGGTAGCAATGTGCTCAAACGTGTCTCTTCTTGCAGATAGGAATGGCCAATGAAATTTAAGTGGAAGTTTTGGATGGAGTATTTGGATGAAGTTTAGGTGAAGCTCTTTCTGGCCCCTGGTCTTCCCCATTTCTTACCTGAAAAGGATGTATGGCTGGTGCTTTTATAGTCATTGTATGACTTTGAAGATATAGCTTGTGGAGACTGCACAGTCCTAAGGTGGCACAGGATATCACATCGCAAGGGAGCTTAGCATGCTAAGATGCTAGCTCAGGCCCCTTTTCCTCTTCTTATAAAGCCACCAGTTCCCCTTCCATGATAACACTTTAATCCACTAACCCATTCATCCATTCATCCATGAATAATGGCTCTGCCCTCACGATCCATTCATCCCTTAAGGCCCAAACCTCTCAGTACTGCCACATTGGGGATGAAGTTTCCAACACATGAAATCTGGGGGACACATTCAAACCACAGCAATTAGATTATGACACTTGTTTACGATTATACATACCCTCTTTCTAGGCCTTCTTTGTCCCTAATTAAAATTGTTCCTCCTTCAGCGCCACTCTCTGATATCTGAATCCCAATGAAGATCAAAGTTCAGACCGTTTTCTCATATGACTGATCAACATAAAAAGTGCATGAAAGGATAATCACCAAAAAGTGGAAGAATGAGGGTATCTCAGGGCGGTGGGATTTCAGGTGATCATTTCTTTCTCCCTCTTATTTTTATGATTCTTTTCATTTTTATATTGACCTTATAGTATTTACATAATCAGAAAAAAAAAACAAGAAAGCTGTTTTCAGTGTGAAACAGCAACAACCTAAGGATTGGAGTGAGGCAAGATTGGAGGCAGGGTCAACTACAAGGGCATTTTAGTAATCCAGGTAAGAACTGATGATGGGCTGAATGCAGGTAATGACAATGGAGATAGAGAGATGTAGAAACATTTAAAAATAATAAGGTGGTAGAATCAACAGGACACAGTGATTGATTGGGAGAGAGGAAGAAGGCAAGCTTCCTTGCTTAAGTAAGTGGGTGGAGATGTATGCTATTCTCTGACATAGGGAACACAGGAGGAAAAGCAAAGACTGAGTGGAAGACATGAAGCATCTTCAAAATATTGAAGCCCACTCCCCACTCTGAATACTTTAGGCAGTTATTTCCAGTGATTCCTAGCCACAGTCAGGGCTGAAAAATGCTGGTGAAAACCCCGACATGGGGCTCTCAGGGGAACCCACACTTCAAGTGTGGACTGAGGACCAGGAACTTAAAGGCTAAGAAAACATGGCCAGGGAAAGAAAGGGAAACCAAAGAAAAGCATGTCTTGGAAATGGATAGAGGAGGAAGTTTCTGCTGGTGCTCAATAAATATTGACTAGATGACAGAAAGAAGGAGAGTACAATGGTGTCAAATATTCCTGAGGAGTCAAGAAAGAGAAGGGTTATAACATGTCCAATGGAGTTAGCCTCGAAGAGGTCACCTATGATCCTTCTGGGATCTGTTTCTGTTGAGTGGTGAGAAGTGAGGGCAAAAATCAATGGTTTGACAACTGAATGGAAGAGGACAAGCTATCCTATTGAAAAGTGTGATACTAACTTAGAAATTACATTTACAAAACATAATTTGTGATATTGAGAAATACTTAGAATATAACACTAAGTGAAATGCAGGATATAAAACATTACCTATACTATATGATTCCAATTCTGGTATAAATTAGAGGCATAAGGAGCAGGATTAAGATCTCACCCTCTGAAGCCAGACTCCCTGGGATCAAATCCTGACTAGGCCACTGACAGGATGTGCAGCCATGGTAAAGTCCCTCACTGGGTGGTGGTTAGCCTGGCACACAGAAAGTGCTCAGTAAAATGTTAGCTATTAAATGCTGAATGTAGATATATACACATAGAAACAAAATATCCTCAGGTGAGGCTGGGCGCTGTGGCTTATGCCTGTAATCCCAGCACTTTGGGAGGCTGAGGTGGGTGGATCACGAGGTCAGGAGATCGAGACCATCCTGGCTAATACGGTGAAACCCTGTCTCTACTAAAAATACAAAAAAATTAGCTGGGTGTGGTGGCACGCACCTGTAATCCCAGTTACTCGTGAGACTGAGGCAGGAGAATGGCATGAACCCAGGAGGCGGAGCTTGCAGTGAGCCGAGATCATGCCACTGCACTCCAGCCTGGGGGACAGAGCAAGACTCCATCTGAAAAAAAAAAAAAAAAATATATATATATATATATATGTCTCCTCAGGTGGAGAGATTCCAAAATGAGTGGCAGGGTTACAAAGTTGGTTTTTTTTTTTTCTGTACAGTTTTCTTTGTTTCTAAATATTTCTTTGTTTTCTAAATATTCTGTAATGAACGTATACTACTTTTATAAGTAGAGAAAAATGTGAAACAGTATTTAACAAAAAATAAGCTTTTCTGTTAAAGGAAAGAGAAAGAAAAGGCATTTTTAGTCTGTTTTGTGCTACTATAACAGGATACCACAGACTGGGTAATTTATAAAGAAAGGAAATTTGTTTCTCACCGTGCTAGAGGCTGGGAAGTCCAAAATCAAGATGCTGGCTCCTTTTGGGGGCCTTCTTGCTGCATCCTCACGTGGAAAGCAGAAGCGCAAGAGAGAACCAATTTCCTCTTCGAATCCCTTTATTAGGATACCTAATCCCATTCAAGAGGAGGAGCCCTCATAGCATAATAATCTCTTAAAGGCCATGCCTCTTAATTCTATCACATTGACAACACCTGATTTTTGGAAGGGACCCATTTAAGCCATAGAATTGGGCAATAGCTACAGGGTATAGGATTAATGTTTCATGTGCTCATGATGAGACTTCCTATTCACAGTTTTTGGGAAAGATCCTGAAAGGAGTCGAGGGTGACAACTGATGTAATGATTTTTTTTTTTTTTTTTTTTTTTTTTTTGAGACAGTGTCTTGCTCTGTCGCCCAGGTTGGAGTGCAGTGGCGCGATCTCGTCTTACTGCAAGCTCCACCTCCCGGGTTCACGCCATTCTCCTGCCTCAGCCTCCTGAGTAGCTGGGACTACAGGCGCCCGCCACCACGCCCGACTAATTTTTTGTATTTTTAGTAGAGACGAGGTTTCACCGTGTTAGCCAGGATGGTCTCCATCTCCTGAACTTGTGATCCGCCCGTGTCGCCCTTCCAAAGTGCTGGGATTACAGGCGTGAGCCACTGCACCCGGCAGTAATGATGTTTTTGTGAGGAAAAAGGAAAGCATGAATGTGGTGTGGGGAATTAGTCTTTAATAGGACATCTCTTCCTGTGACTGGGGAAGAAAGAATTTGTGAGTAGGTATAAATACAATAATTTGTAGGTGCAGAAACAGGAGGTTGAGGAAGTTCATGACTGATAGCCTTGATGTTAATCACTGAAGCCAGCAAGGCTGTCCACTGAGAGGCGGGAGTCTGAATATCCACAGAGGGATGAAGGAGGAAACTGACACACAGCTGCATTGCCAAACAGCGCTGACAGCCTGGTGCTGCCTGGAGACGTGACTCTGCTACGGCCCTGACCTAGGTCACCCCCAGTGCAGCAGATGCAGCCATGGTTCTGTCATACCGTTCTCGCGTGCTTGTGGCTTGCTCTAGATCCTTAATTGGGTTGCTTCCCATGGGAATTCCACTCCTTCTCCCTCTCACATACAGAAATCCTACTCAGTCTGCAAGGCTAGCTCAGGTTTGTTTATTCAACTATTCAGATATTAATTCATCCAGTTTCCAGCTGGTCTTTCAGAACCCCATGGCTTCTGGGTTCAGGAACTTGCAAAAGCTCCATCTCTGTCTTTTCTCTTTGATACCTGTGCTATCTGATCATGAAAGAGTCGTTTCAGGACAGAGGGCTTGCCTTGAAGTCTGACTTCCTGATGATTTTTGATTGGGGGCCAGTATTATATTCAGTCTGTGTGTGAGTGTACATGTGCTTCCTTTACTTCTGCTATTAGGGGTTTAATTTACTGGAGGGGAAGCACCTGTAATCCCTGTTTGGAAAAATGTCTGCTTAATGGCAATTCTCCCGGATGTGACCCACTTGATAATAAAAGTTCCAGTGGAATTGGGTCTCTCTGTAGCCCAGTTCATGTGAAGATATAATCAGGGATTTGGCCAGCTATTTGGAAGTGGCTGTGTCCTCCAGATAGCTTCATCCTAACCATACCTATTCTTCGATTTTATCAAGATCTCCAGCACTTCCACTCCTCCATTTTCTACCAACTCGGTGCATCTCCTGGCACATTTTTCTTGTACAACCCGCCTGAAACCCATGGCATATTTTCTGGCATTCTCGGTATCCAAGCTCCCTCATCTTCCTGTCACATCTGGTTTACAGATTATCAGCTGTGATTAATCCTGACATTCCTCCTGCTTCTTCACCAAGGCTACTGGGCCCTTCATCAGGGTCTAGGCTTTGGCTCCAGCATGGCCAGCAGCAATTAGTGAGGGAAGAATTTAGTCCTGATGTCACTGGTGGGAATCAGTGGGGCAGCAGAACCAAGGACTGGCTCCAGAGTGGCCAGAATACTGGTTACATCCAGGAAGATTGGGCAAATATATAAATGTACAGAGGATAATGAAAGCTGATTCTCTCACTGTGAATGAAGAGAGTTACAAATATGGAAAGGGTCCTGCTGAGGAGCACCAAAGGAAATAAAAGTTAAAATTAAAAAGACAAAAATGGAAAGGGGAAGGCTAAAATAAACCCTGTGATGTTGGATTGGAATTGGAGGCATTGGTGAGGGCTCATGGTTTTTAGTAGATAGTTATAGAAACAGATACAGGTGTGCATGTGTACATATATGTGAGTATATACATATGTACATTTCCCAGCTCTGTCCACTGAGAGGACAGGGGCCTAGAAGTAATGAATGATACTGTAGTAGCAATGAGCACTACACTAGTACCTAGATCCTGCTTTGTGAATATCACTTTTCACAAAAAGAATCAAGTCTCCTTGGAGAAATGGCTGATTTCAGGGGAAGGGCAGAGAAGTATAAAATGAGCATGGAACCTGCTACCAGAAGTAACAAAGTCCTCAAAGAATGATGGGGGACATATCAAAAAGACACAAGAAGTAACTTAAAGGGATTCCCAATGGCTCAATCTGGGATGATTTGAAGACTAAAAAAATAATAATAATAACAGTAATAGATCGTATCACTGAATAAAATAGGAATCCGTGAGTCTATACAATTGAATTTTAACCAAAAGTTAACAATAATTTGTGGAGTTTATAATATATGTAGAAATAATAAAAGGCATTATAGCAATAGAAAAAAGACCAGAAGGGGAATAAATATAAGTATGTTGTTTTATGTTTCTTACCTTATACATGAAGTGGTATAATCTTACTTCAAGATATGCCTGTGGTAAGTGATGGATGCATATTATAACTTCCAAAGCAACCACTAAAACAAACAAACAAAAACCACGTGAACTAGCTCAAGAGTCAATAGAGGAGATAAAATGAAACCCTGAACATTTTCTTCTTGCTTTATACAAAAGAAAGCAGGAAAAGAGGCAAGAGGAACAGAGAACAGATAGGCTAAATTGAAAATAAATAGCACGATAGTGGACATCAACTGTGTCAATAATTACATTAAATATAAATGGTCTTAACACTATAATTAAAAGGCAGAGTGGATAAATAGGATGGTCTAGGAAAGCCTCGCTATGAAGGTGACAATTTAAAAAATACTGTAAGAAGAAGGATCAAGGATGCAGATAATAACTAGAACAAGAGTGTTCTAGACAGGTAAACACATACAAGATCCTGAGGTGGGTGTGTTCCTGGTATGACAGAAGAACAATGAGTAGGCCAGTGTGGTAGAGCTAAGTGAGCGAAAAGGAGGTGAGGTCAGACAGCTAATGGGGTAATAGATTAAACAGGACCTTGAAGGCCATTGTAAGAACTCTGGATTATACTCTGAATGAAATGGGAATCCATTTTTTATGGTTTTGATCCAATAAATGACATAATCTAATTTGCATTTTTAATCTTTATTGCAATACAATTTTTTTGAGACAGGGTCTTGCTCTGTTGCCCAGGCTGGAGTGCAGTGGCACAATCATATCTCACTGCAGCCTTGACCTCCTAGGCTCAAGCAATTCTCCCACCTCAGCCCCCTAAGTAGCTGGGACTATAGGCACACACCACCACGTCTGGCTAATTTTTTATTTTTTTATTTTTTGTAGAGACAGGGTCTTACTATATTGCCCAGGCTGGCCTCAGACTCCTGGGCTCAAGCGATCTTTCCACCTTGGCTTTCCAAAGTGCTGGGATTATAGGCATGAGCTACCATGGCTGGCCTTGCAATATAATTTGTATATAATAAAATTTGTCAATTTTAAGAGTACCATTTGATGAGTTTTCACAAATGTATGGAGTCATGTAACCACCACCACAATAGCCATATAGTACATTTCCATCACCCTACTCTGGATCCTGTGCTGAGAAAGACTGAAAGATGGAAGCAGAGAGATGAGTTGAAAACGTTACTGTGGTAATCTCGGTGAGAGAGAACCATGGCCTTAGACCAGGTGGCAGCAGTGCAGGTGATGAGAAGTGGTCATAATCTGAATATATTTTGAAAGTAGGAACAACAGGTTTTTCTGAAAGACTGGCTATAAGGTGTAAAATAAGTCGCAAATGACTCCAAGGTTTTTGTCCCAGCATATTGAAAGGATAGAGTTGCCATTAATTGAAACAGGCAAGACTGTGGGAGGAGCAAGTTTGGTGGGAGGAGCAAGTTTGGTGGCAGAAGACGAGTTTGGGGTATTTTCAGTTTAAAATGTCTAACAGATATTCAAGTGTAGGTAGTTTGAAATACAAATAAAATGTCCAACTGATTGGAACAATCTAAGCAGGGGAGAGGTGTGAGTTAGAGAGAGATTTGAGAGATAAACTATTTCAGAAATAAACTATAATGTATCCATCAGGAAAGGATAGCACTCTCAGGGTGTTTGGTGGTGGATACAGACTATTTCAACAAGGGAGCTAATTAGCAGACACTGTCCAGAAGAGAGGCTTCCTGGACTCTCAGTGACTGAAACATTCAGAAATATTCCTAGACTATATATTGGTAAGTTATTATGTCCTCGGAGATTTGTAGGAATATCCCTCAGAACACAAGAAGTTCTGATTCTTGAATAGGCCTTTTCCAAGTTGATTGTTCCACATTTTACACAAGCCCCTTGTGGAAAAGGTGCCCAGTTTATGGTGATAATGATTACAGAGTCGTAGAGTTAGAGCTTGGAAGATATCTTAAAGGTTCTCTTGGTCCAACCTCACACCTATGGCATGGCTGATAGATAATTAGAGTCACATCCAATGGAAATGATCTCACATCTCCCAGGCAGACTCTTCTCCTGATGGTCAACTCCATTAGAAAGTTCTTTCATGTCGGGCATAGTGGCTCATGCCTGTAATCCCAGCACTTTGGGAGGCTGAGGCGGGTGAATCACCCAAGGCTAGGAGTTCAAGACCAGCCTGGCCAACATGGTGAAACCCTGTAAAAAATACAAAAATTAGCTGGGTGTCGTGGAGCACGCCTGTAATCCCAGCTACTTGGGAGGCTGAGGCAGGAGAATTGCTTGAACCTGGAAGGATGAGGTTGCAGTGAGCTGAGATTGTGCCACTGCACTCCAGCCTGGGTAAAAGAGGGCAACTCTGTCTCAAAAAAAAAAAAAAAAAAAAGTTCTTTCTTGCGTGAAGCACACATATGCCTCACTGTCGTTACATTTTTTTCTGCGTCTCAGAGACCCCGATGAATGCCTTACTACATTTAGCAAATGAGACTCAAAGTGCAAGAGCTTCAATGTGACCATAAGTTTCACCTTCACGGGGCCTGTCAAATGGTTTAGGTTTCAAAACTTAAGCCCTTGGCCTTCACTAAAACTTCCCAGTATCTTCTGTCAAGAGGCTTCCTGGACTTTTGAAGAGAAAGTAAACTAAATGGGTGTTTGTTTCTCATCAGTGAAAGCAACGTGCTTGCAGAGGCCAGCTGGTCTATTTTTGTCTGTGGGTGGTGGATGGTTGCCAGGATTGAGCAGAGGTGTTTTCCTGTGGTAAAGACCAGAGATGGGGGTTGGTGGAGATGGTTCTTGATGCAGGAGAAGGAAGATTCGTGAACAGGATTCAGAACCTGGGAGCCTGTTGAGGAGGTCCTAGGGCTACCTTCAAGCTCAGACCCCTCATTCGCCGCCTCACTTGCATCCTTTTTCAATGTGTGCTCAGGGACTGCTAAGAGACTCATTCCTCCCCTAACAGGCAATAGCTATGAGGCTTTTAGTTGGGCCAGGTCTTGCAGGACACTCATCCTTCTGTATGATGGTCTCATTGCTGGTATCCTGGGTCCAAGTGTCCCCTACTCATCCTCACTAACAGGGCTCTGGCACTGCTTGTTTAGATGCAAATGTCTGGGGTGGGAGGACGTAACCACCTATAGTGGCACAAAATGCCCAGGAGTCAAGTTAATCCTAAGGATTTGGGGACTAACTCAGATGCAAAGCCTGAGAAACACCTGTCCACAGGCCCAAAGAATGTCTAGGGTTTTAGAGCCATGGATTTGAGACCCAGTAGAGCTGGGACTAAATGAAAGCAGTTTGGGAATAAGCCAATGTAGGGTCCTGGGTTATTTTAGCATCTGCACTTTCTTTAAGGGCCCACGTGTATGTGGGATATTCACAAGTGTGAATTCAGGGTGGTTTTTTTTTTAAATTGGGATTTTTAAATATAGATTTTAAAAATATAGATAAAAATATGGATTTCTGGGCCTTGTCCTTAGAAATTCTGATTCAGTGAGTCTGAGGGGGACTCAGAAAGCTGTCTTTTGAAAACTTTCCCAGTTTACTCCGATGTGTGTTTGGGAATCATCAGCTTAACGAATTAGAGGTGGGGCAGACACTTGTCTGTCAACATCCAAATTTCCTGTCCTCAGCCTTGGTGGTGCGCTTGCCTTCATATTTCTTTTGCCTACCTGGATGACTCCTGCGACTTGATTACCTCCCTGCCCAGTCTTAGCAAAAGTGAGCTAATGTGTAAAGAGTGCTTAGCATAGGGCCGGTACTTAGTAATCACTCAATAAAAGGAGGTTGTTATTCTTATTATCTGTGGTTAAAATGATATGACATGCCTGAGCTGTATGACTCATTGGACCAGGCAGTAATATCCCTTGAACACAGTGGAATTAGGTCAACCTCCTACCACCACTAATCCTGGCATCTCTCCTCCCCCAGTGAGCTTCCTATTTGGCCCTGTTGGGTTCTCACTTGGTGCCAGTCTGACTTTCTTGGGTTTGCTTTCTATTCTTTTGGCAGGACCCAGAGCAGGTACAATTCCCTTTGTGTTTGTTTAGAAACTGCTCTTCAGTGGTTGAGAGGAGTTGGGCCTCCCAGTCACAGTGTTTTGGTGGTTTGTTTCCATTTCTCCTTTGTGGTTGTGTTTATGACTGTGGTACAACTACTTGGAACTGAAATGTAGTTTCTTTGGAGACAGGGGTATTCTGTAGACACGGTGAAATTCCTTGGACTTGGAGGGTCTCCAGAATGCAATACAATATCTCTAACTGGCTCTAGAACTACCCAGAGTGAATAGGATTCTATTGTTACAGCTAGAACTAGGGTGAATGAATGCAGGATTCTTCATTTATTCAGCCAATGTGTGTGAGCACTTCTAATGTGCCAGGCACTACTAGTACTGGGAAGAATAAAATAGCCCTGACCATTGCAGCCAAGATTTTCTTTGTTCCCTTTCTAGGCCATCAAGCACAATGCTTCCAGGTTAACCTTCACACACTCACACTCACACTCACAGGTGTTAACACTTACTGTATGTTAGGGTAAAAAGTTGGTAGGGGGCCGGGCGCGGTGGCTCACGCCTGTAATCCCAGCACTTTGGAAGGTCAAGGCGGGTGTATCACCTGAGGTCGGGAGTTCGAGACAAGCCTGGCCAACATGGCGAAACCCTGTCTCTACTAAAAATACAAACAAACAAACGAACAAGAGGGCATGGTGGCCGGCGCCTGTAATCCCAGCTACTCGGGGGGCTGAGGCAGGAGAATCGCTTGAGCCTGGAAGGCAAAGGTTGCAGTGAGCCAAGATCGCGCCATTGCACTCCAGCCTGGGCAACAACAGTGAAACTCGTCTCAAAAAAAAAAAAAAAAAAAAAGTTGGTAGGGTATAGTCCCTGTCACTCAGAAACACAAAATTATCCTACTTTAAGGCCTGTTTGGAATGAATGAAATATATTTATTCTACCAAGTGCTTGGGACTAGAATAGAGTTATAATAGAAATGCATGGAGAGTACAGGAGCATGAGAACTAAATCTACTTCAAAGGAGTCATTTGCTGAATACCTACTACATGCCCAGCGATAGAGAAAAACAGCTTCAGCTTCAGAGCTGAGATGTGTGGACTTTTGAGTAACAGAAACCTGAGTTTGTAAACTGGATCTACACACAGCTGTGTGACCTTGGGCAAGCTATTTATCCTCTCTGAGCCTCACATTTCTTGTCTATGAAGTGGAAGAAATAATATCTACCACAAAGCATTATTGGAAAGGATAAAAGAGACTTTTTTTTAAAATTAATTACTTCATTTTTTTGAGACGGAGTCTGGCTCTGTCGCCCAGGCTGGAGTGCAGTGGCGCAATCTCGGCTCACTACAAGTTCCGCCTCCCGGGTTCACGCCATTCTCCTGCCTCAGCCTCCCGTGTAGCTGGGACTACAGGTGCCCACCGCCCCACCCTGCTAATTTTTTGTATTTTTTAGTAGAGACGGGGTTTCACCGTGTTAGCCAGGATGGTCTCGATCTCCTGACCTCATGATCCACCCGCCTCGGCCTCCCAAAGTGCTGGGATTACAGGCATGAGCCACCGTGCCCGGCCTTTTTTTTTTTTCTTTTCTTTTCTTTTTTTTTTTTTTAAAGCTTTCAGTCTGGTAGCCTTTTGTTCTCATTTACCACCATATATGAGATTGTTTTTTGGTGCCTGACTGTTGCGCTAGACCATGAGCTTCCCAAGGGTGGTGACTGTCCTATTCAGTTTCGTATCTACTGTGACTGTTGCTTGTTGAAGTGACTGTTTTCAGCTCACCTCTGGTTTCAGAGTCTGCCTACCAGAGACCCTCACAGCTGTTGCTCACGCTCACATGCTGTGGCCCATGAGCCTGTGGCTAAGCTGAGCTGATTCTCACTGCAGAGGACAATATCAGTACTGGGTCATGGTGCAGGAAGCTGCCTCTGGTTAAGTTGCTCCTTTTCTCCTGCAGGTTTCTGATGTGCCCCTTCCATTTCAGCTTCTACTCACACCAGGTTCTTGAACCCACTTGGCCCCAACCCCTCTCTTGGTGCCTATGTGGGCACTGCCTTGTCTGCCTGCTGCTGACTTCCTGCCTGGCCTGATTCACCAAATCCAAGGCCACCTGGCTCCCTGGTAGTCTGATTGACAGTATTGTATGCCTCAGAAGTTTGTGGTCACACAGGAGCCACCCCAACTGGGCTCTAGATCTCTGACCCAGTGACCTACTGGTCACCTTGTTATCAGCTTGGCCGCCCCAGTTGGACTCTGGCTCCACCTCTACCCACTCAACATACAAGCATTGAGTTCTGAAAGTGTACCAGGCCCTGTGATAGGCAACACGCAGATGAATGACGTGGTTCTTGCCCTGAAAGACACCTGTAACTGTCCCTGTCTTCAACATTCTCAGGCTAAAAATGATGTTGTTAGAAAAAGAGTCTGCAGCTGGTGAGAGGACTGGTTGCGGGAAAACACCTTTTTCACAGCCACAGTGAGGTTTCTTTGCCTGCTTTGATAAGTAGATAGCAGTGTGCCATCTGGCAGAGAACTAGGGTAGGATTCTTTACCTGACCTGAAAGAAATGCACAGACATGAAGCAGGTATAACAGAAGTGAGATATAGGCCAGGCGCAGTGGCTCACGCCGATAATGCCGGCACTTTGGGAGGCCAAGGCAGGTGGATCACTTGAGGTCAGGAGGTCGAGACTAGTCTGGCCAAAATGGTGAAACCCTGCCTCTACTAAAAATACAAAAGTTAGCCAGGCATGGTGGTGCACACCTGTAATCCCATCTTCTTGGGAGGCTGAGGCAGGAGAATTGCTTGAACCTGGGAGGTGGAGGTTGTAGTGAGCTGAGATCGCTCCACTGCACTTCAGCCTGGGCGACAGAGCAAGACTCCATCTTAAAAAAAAGTGAGATATAATTTCTGTCCTCACAGAGCTTGGAGTCTGTGGTAAGCAGAATAATGGCTCCTGGAGACGTACACATTCTTATCCTCAGATGCTATGACTTTGCTATGCTACATGGCAAGGGGGAATTTAGATTATAAGCAGAACTAAGGTTGCTAATTAACTGACTTTGAAATAGGGAGATTGGCTGAGTGTGGTGGCTCATACTTGTAATCATAGCACTTTGGGAGGCTGAGGTGGGAGGATCCCGCGAGGTCAGGAGTTCCGTGACCAGCTAGGCAACATAGTGAGACCTCGTTTCTGCAAATTTTTTTAAAAAAATTAACCAGGCATGGTGGCACGTGCCTGTAGTCCCACTTACTTGAGAGGCTGAGATGGGAGGATTGCTTGAGCTCAGGAGGTCAAGGCTTCAGTGAGCCGTAATTGTGCCACAAGCACTCCAGCCTGGGCGATAGAGTGAGACCCTGCCTCAAAAAAAAAAAAAAAAAAAAAAAAAATCAGGAGATTATCCTGGATTATCCAGGCGGGCCCAGTGGGATCACAGGATCCTTAAACATGGAAGTTCAGTGTTAAAATGATGTGATATGAGAAAGACTTGATCAGCCACTGATGGCTTTGAAGATGGCCAGGGAACCTAGGAACAAGGGCAGTCTCTAAAGGCCAGAAAAGGCAAGAAAAGTTTCTCCCCTAGAGCCTCCAGAAGGAACACCTGACACCATGATTTTAGCCCAGTGAGAATCATTTCAGACTTCTGACCTCTAGAACTATAGAACATTAAATGTATACTTTCTAATCCACTGACTTTGTGGTAACTTCTCATAGTAGCAATAGGAAATAAATACAGTCCAACTGGAAATATGGGAATTAAAGAAGGGATTACAATTCCAAGTGATGTGTGCAGGGACATGAGAAGTAGGGAATGCTGTGGGGATCCCCAGAAGTTCCCTCCCGCCGTGGGCACGGTGGTGGAAGAGTCAGCCAATGCGTTCTGGAGGAAGAGGGCTTGGTACCCTCAGGAGAAGGAAAGGAGCCAGGCAGGAAATCTACTGGAACTGTGTGAGGAGGGCAATGACCTGATCCGTCCAAAGAGCTGTGGGAGGACCTGGGCTCTGAGTGAGGCAGGTGTGCAGAGCTATCTGGGTTGGTTCACCTGGGTTGGCTCCTCTGCCTGAAGTTCCTCCCACATGAAGAAGAATTTGGCTAGAGTTCAAAATGTCAATGGTGGATGAATAAATTGGCATAGTCATACAATGAAATGCAGTAAGTCTTTACAACTTCCCCGGTAGGTTCTTGGAAACTGAGACTTTAGGTGAAACCAATTTTACCATAGGCTAATGGGTATAAACAAGAGTTAAGTTCCTTCGGCATATTTCTGGTCGCAGAAACAGCTTCTAAATAAAGACAAAAACACTTCTAATATGAAATGTTTAAATAAATGTGAGCTACATATAAGTACATTTAAGGAAGATTAATAAAATCAAGTACGATCACTATTTACCCGCTTATTCCAGTTCAGGATCTCTGGTTGCCAGAGCCCATCCCGGCAGCTTGGGGTACAAGGCAGGAACCCATCCTGGCCAGGACACCATCCTATCGCAGGACACACTCACACACACACCCACTCTCACTCAGACTGGGACCATTGAGGCACACCAATGAGCATCACGGGTACAGCTTTGGGATGTGGGAGGAAACCGGAATACCCGGAGAAAACCACGCAGACATGGGGGAAACATGCAAATTCCACACAGACAGCAGCCCCAGCAGGGAATCCATTTTATTCTCATCAATGTTATAATGAAACAACAACATTGTTTGAAGATCTGCCGTATTACACTTCAATTAAAAAGTAAATAAAAATATTATTTTGGCCTAGGGTGGTGGCTCATGACTGTAATCTCAGCACTTGGGAGGCCAAGGTGGACGGATAATTTGAGGTCGGGAGTTCAAGACCAGCCTGGCCAACATGCGGAAACCCATCTCTACTAAAAATAAAAAAAAAATGAGCACGGCGTGGTGGCGCACGCCTGTGGTCCAAGCTACTCGAGGGGCTGAGGCAGGAGAATCACCTGAACCCAGGAGGCAAAGGTTGTAGTGAGCCAAGATTTTGCCACTGCACTCCAGCCTGGGCAACAGAGTGAGACTCTATCTCAATAAATAAATAAATAAATAAATAAATAAATAAATAAATAATATTATTTTACAGAAAAGTGTAAAAGGCACAAACTCTTGACCCAGAAATTTTCACTGCTAGAATTTGCCTTCCACATGTGCTCTCACAGGGGTTCAAGGGAATGAGGAAGGAGGCTCCCTGCTGAATTCTTTGTAATAGTTAAAAACTAAGGGCCAGGCAAGGTGGCTCACGCCTGTAATCCCAGAACTTTGGGAGGCCGAGGTGGGTGGATCGCTTGAGCCCAAGAGTTTGAGACCAGCCTGGGCAACCTGGCAAAACCCCGTCTCTACTAAAAATACAAAAATTAGCTGGGCCTAGTGGCAGGCCCCTGTAATCCCACCTATTCCGGAGGCTGAGGCACAAGAATCACTTGAAACTGGGAGGCAGAGGTTGCAGAGGTCATGCCACTGCACTTCAGCCTGGGAGAGAGCAAGCCTCCATAAAAAAAAAAAAACAAAAAAAAAACTAGGAATAACTATTCATAAATAGATGATTTAGTTACAGTTGACGTATCTGTGATACGCCATTCCATGAAACTTACTAAAAGCAAAAAGGCAGATTCATTTTGCCTGATAAATAGAGTGACTATGAGATTTATCCAAACCAGGATTCTTTTGAGAGTGGGAAGGGATTCTACTGATAATTACACTGGGACAAAAACTGTAAACCAGGACTGGCCCAGGCAAACTGGGACATATGATCATACTACTGATAAAGAGTGATCGCCAAAGAAGATTTTTAGGTGAAGAAAGCAAGATGTATAACAGTATGTATAGCATGATTCTGTATGTGTTGTGTTGTGTTGTTTTGTTTTGTTTTGTTTTTACAGAAAAGATACATTCTTATATATGCATACATACTTTTTATAAAAATGTACAAGGAGCTGCTTACCATGGTCTTATCTGAGGAAGAGAACAATTCTACACTAGGCATTTATATTTATTTTACACTGGGTACTTAAATTACTTTTATTACATGGGGTAATAAAATGTGTATTAGTCAGCTTGGGCTGCCATAACAAGATACAACAGACTGGGTGGCTTAAACAACAGAACAATTTTCTCAGAGTTCTAGAGTTTGGAAGTCTGAGGTTAGGGTGCCAGTATGGTTTTCTGGTGAGGGCTCTCTTCCTGGCTTACAGACAGCCACCTTCTTGCTGTGTCTTCACATGGCAGAGAGAGAGAGAAAGATTTCTCTCTCTCCCTTCTTCTTATAAGGCCACCAATCCTGTCCAATTAGAACCCCACCCTCTGACTTAATTTAATCTTAATCTCCTCCTAAGAGCCCTATCTCAAAGTGCAGTCACATTGGGAATTAGATCTTCAACATATGAATTTTAGGGGGACACAATTCAGTCCATAACATTCCCTAGGAAAGCTGATGACATAATTGTAGTCCAAAAGCTGGCAGGCTCAAGGCTCAAGACTCAATAAAAGCCAATATTTCAATTCAAGTCCAAAAGCAGGAAAAGATTGATGCTCCAGTTCAAGCAGCCAAACAAGAGGCATTCCCTCTGACTTGCAAGAGGGTCAGCCTTTTTGTTCTATTCAGGCCTTTTATTAATTAAACAAGGACCACCTGCATGATGGAGGGTAGCCTACTCGACTCAGTGTACTGACTCAAATGTTAATCTCATCCAGAAACACCCTCACAAACAAACCCAGAATAATATTCAACCAAATATCTGGGCACCCCATGGCCCATTCAAGTTGACCCATAAAATTAATCATCACAAAATAGAAATTTGAATAGGTGCAAATATTATTTTCAGGTTTTCTTTTCTTTTCTGTCTTTTTTTTTTTTTTTTAAGACTGAGTCTTGCTCTGTTGCCCAGGCTGGAACGCAGTGCCACAATCTCACCTCACTGCAACCTCCACCTCCTGGGTTCAAGCGATTCTCATGCCTCAGCCTCCTAAGTAGCTGGGATTACAGGTGTGCACCAACTCACCCAGCTAATTTTTGTATTTTTAGTAGAGATGAGCTTTCACCATATTGCCCAGGCTGGTCTCGAACTCCTGACCTCAAGTGCTCCACCCACCTTGGCCTCCCAAATTGCTGGGATTACATGTTTGAGGCACCCTTCCTGGCCACATATATTATTTTCATAATAAAAAAATGCAAATTTAAATAAAGTCATGGAAAGTCAAATACACTTTCATTTAGCAGTGTGCCCCAATCTTTCTCTGTTTCATAGGTTGGCTTCCTTGCCAATCTTTCCCCTCTTAATCCCAGCCTCATCTCCTCACACACCACCCAGTATGAATTGCAGCAGTTGCAACAGGAGGTGATGGGAAAAATATAGTAAATAAATAAACAGCTCGACCTCACAGATGATAAAAATCTCCCCAGGTTTCCAACTGGGACAATTAAAAAAGTAGAGGCTAAAACTTCCAGGGAAAGGTATCTTTAAAGCTACAAACTCTTCACTCAGGTTGTCCATTTTTAGAAAATATTTTTCCTCTATATTCTAAATACTACTGCAGGACAGTAAATTCTTTCTCCCACTCCTTCTTTCCTTCTGCACTGAAAAGGGAGCACATTTTAAAGCTTTTCTCCTTTAGATGATAAGTTCCTTCCAAGAAGAGAAGGGTTGAATTTTAGGTCATATGTCCACCTACTTCCTGAAAGGAGGTCACTTCCTTAGCCCTTATTATGTCCCTGCCTGAGAGCAAGGGAGAGGGACTGTTTCTTGGCTTGGTGGTTTGGTCAAACTGCCTTAGAGGGATCAAATTTGTCTGAAGACCTATTGATGTCCATGGATTTTTTTTTTTTTTAAACCTTGAAACCTCTCTCAAGGAAAAGGAGGGGATAGAAACACCCAGATCAAAGGACAGAGAGGGTGGAGGTAGTTTGACTATTTCTATTTCCCTGAATAACTTTTTAATAGGAAGAATCCCTGTCAGACTCATTATGTTTCTGGCGTTTCCCTACTCCTCATGATCACTTAACATTTCTGGCCTCAAAGAGCTTTCCCTCACAATGAGGGGCAGGAGGTGGAGGGTGGAGGTAATAGCACCAGTAAGTGGTTGAGCTAGGGTTTGACCAAGTCTGTCCTCCTCAAAAGCTTGAGAGATCACACATCTGGCCCATACCAGTTCATTCTCTCTTCTCCTTTTTTTTAACCCCCCTTTTTTAGAGACAGGGTCTGTCCGTTGCCCAAGCTGGAGTACAGTGGTGCGATCATGGTTAACTGCAGCCTGGAACTCCTGGGCTCAAGCAATCCTCTCATCTCAGCCTCCTGAGTAGCTAAGACTATAGGAGTGTGCTACCACACCCAGGTAATTTTTATTTTTTAGAGACAAGGCCTTGCTATGTTGGCCAGGCTGGTCTCAAACTCCAGCCTCCAGTGATCCTCCTGCCTCGGCCTCCCAAAGTGTTCAGATTACAGGCATGAGCCATTGCACCTCGCCCCCTCTTCTCCTCATGAGAATTCAGTATTCCTCCCTTCATGCCTTTCCTCAGCTCCTGTGTGTCCCTGCACCTTCTGCCCTCCACACCCTATTCCCATCCTCCCATTCCAACTTCCTTCCAAATACCATTCATTTTTCAGGGTAAACCAGTTCTATCTCTTATTCTTTCATGAAGATTTCCCTGAGCATTGATGTTATCCTAAAAAGATAGTGGGTTTTAAAAACTACTTTAAAAGATGTGCAAAAGATGTTTATTTTTATCATTCATAATAGTAAAGTCATTGACTAGCTGTGGCTCACAAGCAAGCTCCTGGTTGAGCCCAGTGGCAGGGAGCCTCTTGTAGAAGCATTGGATTCTCCAAGCTATTTTTCCAAACTGTGACCTGGAACAGCAGTAGGCAGGGAGCAAACAGCCCGATGGACCCAGTAGCTCTTCACTCAGGGTGAAAGCCAAGCCAGTCATGACTGGCCTGATAGCAGAAGGTACCAGGAGAGAACAGGCTGCAGTTTGCACATCAAATCCCAAGCTGTTTTGCCAGAAATACAAAGGAGTCATTTTCTAAGAGGAAGTCAGCTCTTCCCGCTGCTTATCTGGGGCTACCAAAACAACTGTTGGTTGATTTATCAGGGCACAGGGGATGGTGTGGTTTCAGAACAGAACCTGGACATTCATCCAGCCTGCTTCTCTAATTAGAGCATTCTGGCCTTTACCACCCAAACCCATGGGTTCCCATTTCCAGCTGTGTTAGTGGAAAGAGAATCGGAGCTTGAGTCAGATCGTCATAAAATGTTAAGAGATAGAAGAAAATCAACAGGAATATTTGTCAGTCTTCCAAAAAATGAAAATAAGGACAAAGTAGTCTCTTTTTATTTTTAGAATAAACTGAATAAAACAAACGGAATTTATTTAATTTAAAAGATGAGCTCTTAATTTTGATATCATGGTCTTCCTTGTTCTTAATATTAAAATGGCATTTCTTTTGTGCAGTGATGTTGATCATAGATGGTAGCTGATTTTTAAAGCTCTCTCTCTTTTTTTATTTTTTTTGAGATGGAGCCTCGCTCTTATCTCCCAGGCTGGAGTGCAGTGGCGTGATCTCGGCTCACTGCAACCTCCGCCTCCCGGGTCCAAGCGATTCTCCTGCCTCAGCCTTCCGAGTAGCTGGGATTACAGGCACCCACCACCACGCCCAGATAATTTTTGTATTTTTGGTAGAGACAAGGTTTCACCATGTTGGCCAGGCTGGTGGCAAACTTCTGACCTCAGGTGATCCACCCACCTCGGCCTTCCAAAGTGCTGGGATTACAGGCATGAGCCACTGTGCCTGGCCTAAAGCTCTTTGTAAAGAAAGTAATGACTAAACCCCCTCTCTACTAAAAATACAAAAATTAGCCAGGCGTGGTGGCCTGCACCTGTAGTCCCAGCTACTCAGGAGGCTGAGGCAGGAGAATCACTGGAGCCTGGAAGGCGGAGGTTGCAGTGAGCCCAGATGGTGCCACTGTACTCCAGCCTGGGTGACAGAGTGAGACTCCGTCTCAAAAAAAATAAAAAATAAAATAAAATAATAACTATACTTGAAATCACAAAGTTTGGATACTATAGGTTTAGGTAACTCACTAAAGACCATATACATCTAGTCAGGAACAAAGCTAGATTTGAATTTCTGTTACTAGTTGTATTCTTCTAAGCCACAGAGATACTAAAGGTATGATTGGGGTAAGTGATTTTATATCCTGAGCTTCATATTTTGCTTCCGTAAAATGGGGGATCATGAAATCTGCCCTGTGTCACCAAGTAATCACGAGGCTAAAATGAGATAATGGAGATGAAAGTTTTACAGTAGGTAGCCGAACAGACATGAGCAGGCAGAACTGTCCCCCACCCCCACCAGGAAAGTCAGGTGATCATCAGGTGATGGTCAGGCAGGTGTTAAGCTGTCTCTCTCAGATGATAATTGGTCGCAGCCGCACCAGGTAAGGGCAGTCTCCCAATAGAAATACCTGAAACTGGTGATCAGCAGCTTCCTGATAAGATCTCAGGAGGTGGGTGAGTGGGCTCAAGCATGAGCACTAAGAGTTAAATTGACGGAGTTTTTTTTTTTTGTTTTTTTTGAGAGGGAGTCTCGCTCTGTCACCCAGGCTGGAGTGCAGTGGTGTGATCTGGGCTCACGGCAACCCCCGCCTCCCAGGTTCGAGCAATTCTCTTGCCTCAGCCTCCAGAGTGGCTGGGACTATAGGAAACCGCCACCATGTCTGGCTAATTTTTTTTTTTTTTTTTTTTTTTTTTTTGAGACGGAGTCTCGCTCTATTGCCAGGCTAGGGTGCAATGGCTTGATCTCTGCTCACTGCAACCTCCGACTCCCTGGTTCAAGCTATTCTCCTGCCTCAGCCTCCTGAGTAGCTGGGATTATAGGCACACACCACTGCGCCTGGCTAATTTTTGTATTTTTTAGTAGAGACGGGGTTTCACCATGTTGGCCAGGATGGTCGCGATCTCCTGACCTCGTGATCCACCCACCTCTGCCTCCCAAAGTGCTGGGATTACAGGAGTGAGCCACTGCGCCTGGCCTATTTTTTTATTTATTATGTATTTATTTATTTAAAAAAATTTTTTTTTGAGACAGAGTCTCGCTCTGTCGCCCAGGCTGGAGTGCAGTGGTGTGATCTCAGCTCACTGCAAGCTCCGCCTCCCAGGTTTACGCCATTCTCCTGCCTCAGCCTCCCGAGTAGCTGGGACTACAGGCACCTGCCACCACGCCTGGCTAGTTTTTTGTATTTTTAGTAGAGAAGGGGTTTCACCATGTTAGCCAGGAGGGTCTCGATCTCCTGACCTCGTGATCTGCCCACTTCGGCCTCCCAAAGTGCTGGGATTACAGGCGTGAGCCACCGTGCCTGGCCAATTTTTTTTTTATTTTTAGTAGAGACAGGGTTTCACCATGTTGGGCAGGCTGGTCTTGAACTCCTGATCTCAGGTGATCCACCTGCCTCGGCCTCCCAAAGTGCTGGGATTATAGGCGTGAGCCACTACACCTAGCCAAAATGGCAAAGTTCAACTGGCATATGATCTTTCTCTGGGAACACTTGATTGGTAAGGGAAGAATGCTCAAGTGAACATGTGTTTAGCTCCAGTAAACACACTACACATGCGGCCCTCCCAAGTGCTAGCAGGCCACTACACATGCAGACAGCCACCCCAAAGGAAGAATCAGGGGCAAGGTCCCCAGAAGCATGCCAAGGTATAAAATCCCAAGTCAAAGGTCAAACCATGCACTTGGATCTCTCAAGTCACCCGCTTGGCCCTCTTCCAAGTGTACTTCCTTTTGTTTCTGCTCTGAAACTTTTTTATTTATTTTTTATTTATTTATTTTTTTTGAGATGGAGTCTCGCTCTGTTGCCCAGGCTGGAGTACAGTGGCATGATCTCGGCTCAGGGCAAGCTCCACCTCCTGGGTTCACGCCATTCTCCTGCATCAGCCTCTGGAGTAGCTGGGACTACAGGTGCCCGCCACCATGCCCAGCTAATTTTTTTGTCTTTTTAGTAGAGACGGGGTTTCACTGTGTTAGCCAGGATGGTCTCTATCTCCTGACCTCGTGATCCACCCACCTCGGCCTCCCAAAGTGCTGGGATTACAGGCGTGAGCCTCTGCGCCCGGTCTCTGCTCTGAAACTTAAACTTTCACTCCTATGCTAAAACTTGCCTCAGTTTCTCCCTCTGCCTTACGCCCGTTGGTGGAACTCTTTCTGAGGAGGCAAGAATTGAGGTTGCTGCAGACCTGTACAGATTAGCCGTTGCTAACAAAACGATTTTGAGAAGTAAAGTTTTTACATTGTACAAGAGCTTGGTGTGATTATTATATGTCAGTCCATCCATTTTTGAGGCTCCCGCTGTGTGCAGATTATTTGTTTTGAAGGCTCTGTTAGTTTCCTAGGGATCTCCAAACAAAGTTCCACAAACCAGATGACTTAAAGCATCAGAGATGTATTCTCTCAGAGTTCTGGAGGCTAGAAGGTGTTGGCAGGGCCATACTCCCTTAGAAGAATGTAGCGGATACTTCCTTGCCTTGTCCTAGCTTCTGGTGGCCTCAGGCATGTTATGGCTCTAATCTCTGCCTGTGTCTTCAGGGGTTGCCTTCTCCCTGTGTGTCTACCTGTTCTCTCTTTTTTTTTTTTTTTTTTGAGACGGAGTCTTGCTCTGTCGCCCAGGCTGGAGTGCAGTGGCACAATCTCGGCTCACTGCAAGCTCCACCTCCCGGACTCAAGCAATTCTCCTGTCTCAGCCTCCCGAGTTGCTGGGATTACAGGCACACGCCACCACACCTGGCTAATTTTTTTGTATTTTTAGTAGAGACAGGGTTTCACCATATTGGTCAGGCTGGTCTCGAACTCCTGACCTCAGGTGATCCACCCGCCTCGGCCTCCCAAAGAACAGCCCTGCCTGTTCTTTTTATAAGGACACTGGTTGTACTGGATTATGGGGCCCACCCTACTCCAATATGACCTCATCTTAACTTGAATTCATCTGCAATGCCCCTATTCCCAGATAAGTTCACATTCTGAGGTACTAGAGGTTAGGACTTCAACATATCTTGTTGGGGGAATATATTTTAACCCATAACAAAGATGAGGTAAATTTTAAGTTGCATTTTAATTAACACCACATGCTCTGACTTTAAGGAAAACAAATTTCTCCCTACCCTTCTAAGAAGAAACACTGTAGGCTGGGTTCGGTGGCTCACGCCTGTAATCCCAGCACTTTGGGAGGCTGAGGCGGGCGGATCACAAGGTCAGGAGATCGAGACCATCCTGGCTAACATGGTGAAACCCCGCCTCTACTAAAAATACAAAAAATTAGCCAGGCGTGGCGGCACACGCCTGTAGTCCCAGCTACTTGGGAAGCTGAAGCAGGAGAATCGCTTGAACCCAAGAGGCGGAGGTTGCAGTGAGCTGAGATCACACCACTGTACTTCAGCCTGGCGTCAGAGTGAGAACCCGTCTCAACAAAAAAAAAAAAAGAAAAAGAAACACTGTGAGGCAGAAACAAAGGGAACTGCGGTGGGGCGGGGGTGTGGTGGGGAGTTGAGTTTTAGAGGCAAATTGAAGCAGCTGGTTAATGAACAAACAAACTCCTTGGCTCCTGAGAGATGAAGCTTTTTAGAGCCCAAGTGGCAAATCAGTAGTGACCAAAGCTTGAAAGCAAACTCTAGCAGCACTTACTCCATGGAGAGCTCTCAGCTGGAGGCGGCTCCCCTAGATTAATCTGCACTGCCAGGGAAGGGGAAGGAACCACGGTTTCTTAAGTCAACACACTTGGGCCTGAAGCAATATTTATTCAGGAGGATCTGAGTTAGGTTCTGCTCTGCCCAGAACTGGGCTGTGCAGTCCCACTTCGCCAGGCCCTGGGGCCAGTTGAAATGACACCAGCACTCTTCTTCCCTACCTGCAGGCCTCCACTTCCTTCCCAGAGAGCTGTTTTGTTTTTTATCCTGACTCAAAGGATAAAGGCAGCTGTGTTCACTTCTCCAAAGTATTGGGCCAAGGGAGGACATGGTCAAAGCAGGGATTCTGACACCTTGGGGAAAAAAAAATCCCGTCTCCAGGAAGTTTGTGGACCCTGAAACCTGTTACTTAAGGAAGTCAGGGCTGCACTGTAACTTCTGCTAGCCCTCGGCACTTGTGCCTTTTATGGGTCCTTCCTCCATAAGAAAATATTAAGTTATATTTTACATAACTGGTATAAAGATGAGTATGATCCAAGCTGGATTCATTATTATCTATCCATTCTTATTACATCCTTTGTATTTTCCTGGTTTGAAATCAAAATTAAAACATTTTTATTGGCCCCTAAAATATTCTCCACGCTGTGCCCACTGCCTATCTGGATAGGTCAGCCCTGGAGAGAGGCTATGCTATTTTTAAGCCTGTGGGTGTGGGGTACAGTAGGAGGTGTGTGTGTGTGTGTGTGAGAGAGAGAGAGAGAGATCTGGGAGATGATTTGAAATCAGTCCAGTCTAGGCCAGGTGTAGTGGCTCACACCTACAATCCTAGCACTTTGGGAGGCCAAGGCAGGCGGATCACTTGAGATCAAGAGTTCGCGACCAGCCTAGCCAACATGGTGAAACCCCATCTCTACTAAAAATACAAAAATTAACTGGGTGTGGTGGCAGGAGCCTGTAATCCTGCTACTCAGGAGGCTGAGGCAGGAGAATCGCTTGAACCTGGGAGGCGGAGGTTGCAGTGAGATGAGATTGCACCACTGTACTCCAGCCTGGGTGACAGAGTGAGACTCCATGTTAAAAAAAAAATAGAACTAAGAAAAAAATAAAATCAGTTCAGTCTAGTTAGAGGGGAATGATCAAGATGACCTTTGAGACCCATGTAAGGTGAAGGAATAGGGTTTAAGGTATCAAGCTGTTTGTCTTCATAGTTAGATGCTCCCATTTCCTCCTATGGACCCCGATGTATGTTCGAATGTAAAGTGCATCTACCTTGTCAGTGGTTGCCTGTTATCCAACTGCAATATCTGGATACCTTGCTCCACATCAGGACAAAAATGTGGATGGGGTTGTGCAAACAGGGTAATGAATGGGGAGAAAGTTGAGAGGAATTACCTGGACCACTGATCTAAACAGGGGCCCAGGATCTGACACGTATCAACACAAATTTTTCCTTGCTGGGGTCCCAAAAAACATTTTTTCACTAGGACCAGAACTATTCACAGTTTTGAGCACAAAGTGTTTCATCTTCCATCTAACCTTGTACTCACCTCCCTTCTCCTCCATCAAGGAAAACTGTGTCAGATCTACTGAGTCTAGGAAGCACTGATAGAGTAATTTTAGACTAACCTAGAGGTTGGCAACTTTTTCTGTAAAGGGCCAGATAGTACATATTTTAGACTTTGCAGGCCTTATGGTCTTTGTTGTAACTGCTTAACTCTGCTGTTAGAGTGGACAAGCAGCCATAGACAATATGCAAATAAATGGGCATGGCTGTGCTCCAATAAAACTTTCTTTTAAAAAACAGATGGGGCCTGGTGCGGTGGCTCATGCCTGTAATCCCAGCACTTTGGGAGGCTGAGGCTGGCGGATCACGAGGTCAAGAGATTGAGACCATCCTGGCCAACATGGTGAAACCCCGTCTCTACTAAAAATACAAAAATTAGCTGGGCGTGGTGGTGGGCACCTGTAGTCCCAACTACTCAAGATACTGAGGCAGGAGAATCGCTTGAACCTGGGAGGCGGAGGTTGCAGTGAGCCGAGATTGCACCATTGTACTCCAGCCTGGTGACAGAGAGAGACTCCGTCTCAAAAAAAAAAAAAAACCAGATGGAGGAGCCAGGCGCGGTGGCTCATGCCTCTAATCTCAGCACTTGGGAGGCTAAGGCAGGTGGATCACTTGAGGTCAGGAGTTCGAGACCACTCTGGCCAACATGGTGAAACCCTGTCTCTACTAAAAATACAAAAATTAGCCGGGCGTGGTGGGGGTGTGCACCTGTAATCCCAGCTACTCGGGAGGCTGAGACACAAGAATCACTTGAACCCAGGAGGCAGAGGTTACAGTGAGCTGAGATCATGCCACTGCACTCCAGCCTGGGTGACAGAGTGAGACTCCATCTAAAAAAAAACCAAAAAACCAAAAAACCAAAAAAACAAAAACAAAAACAGATGGAAAGCCAGATTTGGCCTGTGGTTTATTGTTTGCTGAACCCTGAAGTAACCTATCTTTTATTTCCTGACCACATCATTTTCCTTCTTTCCAGAATATTGTTTTAGTGTCTTTTATGTGCCATGCACTATGTTAATTAAGTACATTATGAGGCCTTGTAATATACATTTTTATATATATATATATATATATATTTTTTTTTTTTTTTTTTTTTTGAGACAGAGTCTCACTCTGTAGCTTATGCTGGAGTGCAGTGGCGCGATCTTGGTTCACTGCAATCTCCGTCTCCCAGGTTCAAGTGATTATCCTGCCTCAGCCTCCCGAGTAGCTGGATTACAGGCATGCTCCACCACGCCTGGCTAATTTTTGTATTTTTAGTAGAGACGAGGTTTCACCAGCCAGGCTGGTCTCAAACTCCTGACCTCAGGTGATCTACCCGCTTCAGCCTCCCAAAGTGCTGGGATTACAGGCGTGAGCCACTGCACTGGGCCAAGGCCTTGTAATATTTAAGTTTTCCTGTCCTTTTTCTGGTTTCTTCAATAACCTCGATGGCCTTGTTTTCTTCCATATCCACCCTGAGGCCTAATACAGTGCTGAGCTGAGCATACTCTGGTTTCTTAGGATATTTATTGCTTACATTCTTCTAGTCTCAAAATCAATAGGGAAGGCATTAGTTAAATTCACTAAAACCCACCTATTGGTTTTTGATGTTCAACCACGTTTCCTCTCAGGCCTCTGCTTTCCTCATGGAGCAACCTTCAGCTCTTGCCTGCAAGGCTCATCTTACAGAGCTTTGCTTTCTGTTAACTCTACTTGCCATTTATTTATTTATTTATTTTTATTTTTATTTTTTTTTGAGGCAGAATCTCACTCTGTCGCCCAGGCTGGAGTGCAATGGCATGATCTCAGCTCACTGCAAGCTCCGCCTCCTGGGTTCACGCCATTCTCCTGCCTCAGCCTCCCGAGTAGCTGGGACTACAGGTGCCCGCCACCACGCCCGGCTCATTTTTTGTATTTTTAGTAGAGACGGGGTTTCACCGTGTTAGCCAGGATGGTCTCAATCTCCTGACCTTGTGATCTGCCTGCCTTGGCCTCCCAAAGTGCTGGGATTACAGGCATGAGCCACTGCGCCTGGCCGCCATTCATTTATTTAGTCAACAAATATTGATTGAGTGCCTACCTATATACTCTAGACAATGCTAGTAAATGTGAACATTTCCAAAATAGAAGAGGCAATCTCTACCCTAAGTGTTTATAAACTGTGGTCAACATTGATGGCCCCCAATAAACCACATATTCTGCTAGTCATATCCTTTTGAAGACCTTTCCCATATTGACTTGGGGTTTTGTTTTTGTTTTTGTTTTTGTTTTTTGAGATGGAGTTTTGCTCTTGTTGCCCAGGCTGGAGTGCAATGGCGCGATCTCAGCTCACTGCAACTTCCACCTTCCTGTTTCAAGCGATTCTCCTGCCTCAGCCTCCCAAGTAGCTGGGATTACAGGAGCCTGCCACCACACCCGGCTGGTTTTTGTATTTTTAGTAGAGATAGGGTTTCAACATGTTGGCCAGGCTGGTCTCAAACTCCTGACCTTGTGATCTGTCTGCCTCAGCCTCCCAAAGTGTTGGGATTACAGGCGCGAGCCACCATGCCCGGCCATGACTTGGGGATTTGTTGTGTGACTTCTTTGGCTAGTGAGATACTAACAAACATGAAACAAGTAGAAAAGTTCTTGCATACGGAGGCTCAACTTCTTGAAATACGCTCTTTTGGAATTCAGCCACCATGCTGTAAAAAAGTCCAGGCTACCCTGCTGGAGACAGAGGCTCATGTAGAGAGGCCCTGGAAGATGAGACCCCACATGGAGAGATGGGACAATCAGCCCCTCCCTGTTCTAACCTCCTCAGCTGAGGTGTCAGACAGGTGAATGAAGCCCTCTGGGATCCTCCCACCGCTGCGGAGCCTCCAGATGACTGAAGCTGCATGAGAAACATCAAGCCAACCAGCAGAAGAGCCACCCAACTGATCCCAGCCTAGTCAAGAGTAAATCAATAGTTGCTACTAAGTTTGGGGGTGGTTTTTCATGCAACAGTAGATAATTGATAGACTAATCAGGAAGAGAGGGGACACACACACAGAGAATCCAGCCAAGAAGCCACACAGGCCATGGCTGCTAGATCAAATACATGTACCAGCAATACAGAGCCCAAAGAATAGGGCATCAGAGCAGAGTAGGCTGGAACAAACATTGAGGAAGTGCACCAGGCCCTGACTGACAGCTAGGATTTGAATATATGGAAAAGAGCAACCTAAGCAGGGGACAGCCAGGGCAAAGGCTCATTGCCCCTGGATTATGTGCCTTTCAATGGAGATTCTGGGGGCTAAATGAGTCCCTAAGGACTGACTCTAATAATAGATATTCAGGAACAGTGATGTGAGGAGCCATTTTCATATGTGGCTGAGGCACCTCCCCGTGTCTCTCAGAACACACACGTAGGTAGCAACCTACTCCACTTACTCATAAAGTCAGCTCTGATAAAAATAATCTATTATCATTTTAGAAACCTCCTAGAGCTAAATCCCCAAGGACCCTAATAGAGGCTTAGGGGAAATAGCCAGGAACAGCTAGTTTTCTACCTTCTACTGTATAAAATTGCCAAAGGCCAGGTCTTAGGGTCCCATTTTTCTCTCTCCTGGTCTATCTTCTTATATATACTTTGGTTTCTTGTTGTTAATCTCCTCTGTGAAGGCTAAACGCTTCTCTAACCCCTGACTTTTTGGTTTCCCAATGGCAACACCATCAACTGAGATGCAGAGCTGGACAATTACCACATTATATTGTAGTTGACTATCCACTTCTCTTCATCCTTATCAGAGCACAAGATCCTCAAAGGCAAAGATGTCTTATTTCCAACTTTGTGTCTCTAATGCTTACATAGTGGCCAGCACATAGTAAGTGTTCAATAAATGTGAAATTAATGACTGAATTAATGAGGAACCCAGAATACAACCACCATAAAACCAGGCAAATTAGAGTGGAAACATCACCAGGCACAAATATCACTAACATTGATTGGCACAACTTTGTTCCAGATTCTGTGCTAAGCAATTTATGAACCTTTTGTTTTTTCTCTCTTTTTGTTTGTTTAGCGGGGTTTTAGTTCAATTTAGAGAGGTTAAATTATTTATCTGCAGAGCTGGAATTCAACTAAGCCCTTCTGTTCCCAAGTTCATGCTAGGTTTTCTTGCCCTCTTGGATATTGAATACTGCCCAACTGCTCCTATGTGAGGGTTCACCAAATAGGGGCAGGAGATAGAGGGGAGATTCACGAGGAAATCTGAGAGAATTTTTGCTTAGGCATCAAGAAAGAAGTTAACCCTGAGTGCATGCTGAGGAGGATTAGGATGCAGACAGGAGAGGCCCTGAGAGTCTTTGCATTGGCACAAAGAGAGAGGCCTTGGCACCCAGCTTCAGTGGGAATAATAAGGACGAGTTCTTCCCAGGCTGCTCTTTTCTTTCTCAGGAACGAGTTCATGCTCTCTGCAAGGACCAACAGGCAGGAGAGGGCAGCCAGATCTGCCTATTCATAGGGTGGGGTGTTACCACTTAACCTTATTTCCCCAAAGTTTTATGATTAAGACCTGGAGCTAGGGGCGGGGCAGGGGCTTGGCACTGGGGATGGGGTAGACAAGGCACATCTGGGCTCATGAAGGGCAGGGCGGAGCTGGGCTGACTCAGTGGGGCTGCCTTTGGCAGGCAGAGGCAGATCTGAAGAAAATGTCTAACCACACATTTGTGCCTGTAACTTTGCAGGCACCATTTGGCAGCTGCAGTGCGCTAAGGTCATCTGTGGCTTGGTCTCTGACATCCTAGGCTCGAATTTTAGCATGGCCATTTACTATCTTTGGCTCTGGCAAAATCATTTAACTTTTCCAAGCTCCCATTTCCCCTTTTATAACATGGGACCAAAAAGCTGGGTTGGGGTGACAAATAAATGGCAAAACACACTGAGTATCAGTTTCCCTCCATCTCCCTGTCCTGACCGGCTCTTACTTGATATTAGCCAGAGCCTTAAAAGGTAGCTTAGTCAGGGCCACATTGTCATTTTCATGGGTCCCTTTTGCCTTCCTGGTTGCTCTCTCCAAACAAAACAAACAAACAAAAAAAACCAAAAATAAAAGAAAAACTATATTTTATGACTGCATTAGTATAAAGATGATGATAGTCCCAACTTGGTTTATTACCTCATATTAATTATTATGCTCATTTTTCTTCTGATTCCAAAAGAAATTGAAATATTTTCATGGGCACCTAAAAGTGTCAGGAGCCCTTGGTGCTAAGTTTCCTCTGCCTAATGGACAAATCAGCTTTGGTGTCAGGCCACAAGTTATTCCTGCAGGCTCAGGTCTTTTCTTTCTTCCTACAACTTTGAGTCCCGTTGCAATCCAGGTGGTTCAGGAGAGTGAATTCACAAGTCAGGGAGCCTCTTTCCCCTCAGGTCAGTGACTGTGTTGTTTCCCATGGCTGTCTGGCCGTGCTATGTTTCTTTTTCTATCTATGAGTGTTTCTGTGGTTGTTTTGGTGCATCTGCATTTCAGGAGGTAGCTGTTTTGGAGTGGAGTGGGGTAGTGTGAAGTCCTAGACTATGAAGTCCCTGAAACTTTACCTGTTCATTCAACAAATTCTTTTGCGTATCTACTACATGCCAAGCACTGTTGCAGGAACTGGAGATATTGTGCAATAAACAAAGACAAAGTCCCTGTCCTCACTCATGTTACATTCTAGTGGAGGCAGATAGATAGTAAACAAAAATTGACGGCAGGTGGTAAGTGCTAAAGCAGGGCAAAGGGGAGTAGAGGGTGTGGGTGATAAGATGGGAGTAGAGGGCCAGGCGTGGTGGCTCATGCCTGTAATCCCAGCACTTTGGGAGGCCAAGGCGGGTGGATCACCTGAGGTCAGGAGTTCAAGACCAGCCTGGCCAACATAGTGAAAACCCGTCTCTACTAAAAATACAAAAATTAGCCGGGCCATGCTGGCGCACACCTGTAGTCCCAGCTACTCAGGAGGCTGAGGCACAATAATTGCTTGAATCCGGGAGGTGGAGGTTGCAGTGAGCCGAGATCGTGCCACTCTACTCCAGCCTGGGTGACAGAGCAAGACCCTGTTAAAAAAAAAAAAAAAAGATGGGAGTAGAGTTTGTTATGACTTATGAGATGGTCTGGAAACATCTCTGTGTCAAGGTGATATTTGAGCAAAGTCCCAAAGTAAGTGAGGGATGGAGGCATGTGGCTATCTGGGAGAAAAGCTTTCCAGGCCGAAGGAAAAGCAAGTGCACAGGGTCTGTGGCAGGAGTGTCCTTGGTGTGCCTGAGGAGCAGCATGGAGGCCACAGGCTGGAACTGGGCCAGGGGAAGAGTGGCAGGGGAGGAGGTCAGACAGGTGGCCCAGCGCCAGGACATGGAGGGCTTTGGAGGCTCTTGTAAAGATTTTAGCTTGTAGTCTGAGTGTGATGAGAAGCCACTAAAGGAATTTGTTAGAGAAGTAACATGAACAGACTTAGCTCTTAACAGGATCACTTTGGCTGCTTGCTTGGAATAGATTGGGTGGGGCAAGTGCAGAAGCAGGGAGGCCAGTTGGGAGGCTATAGTGTGTTCCAGGTGAGAGTTCATAGGGATTTGGACCAGAGGGTTAGCAGTGGTGTGCTGAGAGACGGTCAAATTGTGGAGATGAAAGTAGAGCCAACAGGATTTGCTGGCAAATTAGATGTGGGGAACCAGAGAAAGAGAAAAGTCAAGGAAGACTGCAAAGTTTCAGACTGGACAAGAAGAATGGAATTGGCATGTACTGAAATGGGTTTAGGTTTAGAGAGAGAGACTTGGCTGTGAACAAGTTAACTTTGAGATACTTTTTAGACTGAATTGCCTCAATCTAAGGCACTGGGCAAGGCTTTGTAACCCCATATGGACCAGTCTTTGGATGTGGGCTGCCCCCAGTGAGGGGGTGTAGCATTGAGCCAAGGAAGCTCCCTTCAGCTGCCAGCAATTGCCCGGAGAGGGACAAAGCTGTGAGCCATCAATAGTCAACACTCTTGGATGCTGAGGAGATGACTGTCTTAGTTCTGAAGCGGGAATTTGGATGTTCTATCACAGAGTCCACTACAAACCACAAACCACTCCTTTCACCATTCAAATCCATTTGCTTCTTATAATAAATTCACTCCATCTGGGAATAACTTCTCTAGGATTCTGCTTGGTCTATTTCCTCGGGAAACTTAAAGGTTAGCGGGATGAACTAGCCACCCCTCCCTCCGTCCCCTCTGCTGCAGCTAGTCTTAAGGCCACATCAACATTCATCATCTCCCTCCTCTACTACCCATTCTAGAGTCCCCTCACCCTTCGCTAGCACCTCTGCTGTTCCAAGCGGCTTACCTTGTGTGTGGTATGACCCAGACCTTCATCCCTAAGAAGTCTTAGCCACGAGTCACCTTGCCTTTCTCAGATCAAGGCTGCACTTCTCCACTTACCTCTATAATTAGGAAAGGAAGTGTCAGGAGATATCTCAGTGGATTACATGAATTTGAAATTCTTCTCTGCCCTCACAGCATTACACAGCCTTATCGCCTTATGATCAGGGTCAATTACGTCAGCCTGTGTGGTCACTCCCTTCCTTGTGTGCTGGTCTCTTGGCATGAGGAGCCTAGTGACCGGGCATGAGGAGCCTAGTGACCGGGCAGCAGCCATAGCTTTGTTTACTGAAACTACCATACCTCCTCCTGGTGGAAGCATTGTCCCTTTGGAAACTAGGACTTCCAGAGCCACAGAAGCCAAAGTTGCAGAGAAAGGATGCGCATATTCCTCCAGGAGGTCACTGGAGTGATGGTAAGTGGGTCTACACCTTGGTTGCTGGACCTATGTATTCTGCCCACTGGGGACACAGTGTCATATCATGGTTGTTGATTTAGGATGATACCCTAGAGGATGACACCTCAACTTTGTGGGATATCAACTCCAATTTGGCACCTCAGCTGCATCATTTTAAAATTGTTTTTTAATTTTTAATTTTATGGATACATAGTATATATTTATGGGGCACATGAGATATTTTGAAACAAGCATACAATGTGTAATATTCACATCAGGATAAATGGGGTATTTATCTCAGCACCATAGGAAAGGTTTTAAAAAATGGAGTAACTGTCACTTTAAGCATTCATCATTTCTTTGTGTTATGAACATTCCAATTGTACTCAGTTAATCTAAAATGTACAACAAATTATTGCTGACTGTAGTAACCTTGTGCTATCAAATACTAGATCTTATTCATTGTCTCTAACCATATTTTTGTACCCATTAACAATCATTTCCCTCTCCCCCTCCTGCCACGACTTTCCCCACTACCTTTCCCAGCTTCTGGTAATCACCCTTTTATTCTCTATCTCCATGAGTTCAGTTGTTTTAATTTTTAGCTTCCACAAATCAGTGAGAACATGTGAAGTTTGTCTTTCTCTGCCTGGCTTATTTCACTTAACATAATGTCCTCCAGTTCCATCCATGTTGTTGCAAATGACAGGATCTCATTCTTTTTTATGGTCGAATAGTAATCCATTATGTATATGTACCACATTTACTTTAGCCATTCATCTGTTGATGGACACTTAGGTTGATTCCAAATCTTGGCTATTGTGCATAGTGCTGCAATAAACATGGGAGTGCAGATATCTCTTTAATATACTGATTTCCTTTCTATTGGGTGTGTACTTAGCAGTGGGATTCCTGGATCATATGGTAGTTCTATTTTTAACTTTTTGAGGAACCTCCAAACTGTTCTCCATAGTGGTTGTACTAATTTACATTGCCACCAACAGTGTACGAGGGTTCCCTTTTCTCCACATCCTTGCCAAAAATTCCTATTGCATCTTTTGGATAAAAGCCATTTGAACCAGGATGAGATGATATCTCACTGTAGTTTTTATTTGCATTTTTCTGATAATCAATCATGTTGAGCAACTTTTCATATATCTGTTTGCCATTGATATGTTTCTTTTAAGAAAGGTCTATTTAGATCTTTTGCTTATTTTTAATTAGATTATTAGATTTTTCCCTATTGAGTTGTTTGAGCTCCTTATATATTCTTATTAATCCCTTCTCTGATGGATAGTTTGCATATATTTTCTCCATTCTGTGAGCTGTCTCTTCACTTTGTTGATTGTTTCCCTTGCCATGCAGAAGTGGTTTTTTTTTAATTTGTTTTTTGTTTTTTAGAGATGGGGTCTCATTATGTTGACTAGGCTGGTCTTGAACTCCTGACCTCAAGTGATCCTTCCATCTTAGCCTCCCAAAGTGCTGAGATTACAGGCATGAGCCACTACACCAGCCCTGTGCAGAAGTTTTTAATTTGAGGCAATCCCATTTGTCCATTTTTGCTTTGGTTGCCTGTGCTTTTGGAGTATTAAGAAATCTTTGCTCTGACCACTGTCCTGGAGAGTTTCCCCAATGTTTTCTTTTAGTATTTTCATAGTTTGAGGTATTAGATTTAAGTCTCTCTCTTTTTTTTTTTTTTTTTTTTTTAAGACAGTCTTGCTCTGTCGCCTAGGCTGGAGTGCTGTGGCACAATCTCAGCTCACTGCAACCTCTGCCTCCTAGGTTCAAGCGATCCTACTGCCTCAGCCTCCCCAGTAGCTGAGATTACAGGCGCACGCTGCAGCACCCGGCTAATTTTTTTTTGTATTTTAGTAGAGACGGGGTTTCACCGTGTTGCCCAGGCTGGTCTCGAACTCCTGAGCTCAGGAATTCCGCCCACCTCGGCCTCCCAAAGTGCTGGGATTACAGGCGTGACCCACTGCACCTAGCCAGATTTAAGTCTTTAATCAATTTTGATTTGATTTTTGTATATAGTGACAGACAGGGATATAGTGTCATCCTGCATATGGATATCCAATTTCCCCAGCACCATTTATTGAAGATATTGTCCTTTGCCCCATGTATGTTCTTGGCACCTTTGTCAAAACTGAGTTCACTGTAGATGTATGGATTTATTTCTGGGTTCTTTACTCTGTTCCATTGGTCTATGTGTCTGGTTTTATGCAAGTACCATGCTGTTTTAGTTATGATAGTTCTATAGTATAAGAAGTTGGGTAATGTGATTCCTCCCACTTTGTTCTTTTTGCTCAGGATGGCTTTGGCTATTCAGGGTCTTTTGTGGTTCCATATAAATTTTAGGATTGCTTTTCCTTTTTCTATGAAGAATGTCATTGATATTTTGATAGAGATATAGAGAGTTCATTAAATCTGTAGATTGCTTTGGGTAGTATGAACATTTTAACAACATTAATTCTTCCAATCCATGAACATGGAATATCTTTCCTTTTCTTGTGGCCTCTTCAATTTCTTGCATCAATGTCTTATAGTTTGCATTGTAGGGATCTTTCACTTCTTTGGTTAAATTTATTCCTAGGTATTTTATTTTATTCATAGCTATTGCAAATTGGATTACTTTCTTGATTTCTTTTCCAGGTTGTTCACTGTTGGCATATAGAAATGCTACTGATTTTTGCAGGTTCATTTCGTATCTTGCAACTTTACAGAATTTGTTTATCAGTTCTAATAGCTTTTTTTTCAGCTGCATCTTTAAGCAGCCACTCCATCACTCTATCAGGCCAGTAGCTTTGGGGTATGAGATAGAACTAGTGCATACCTTGGTCACGTGCCCACTTCCACACACCTTTTGCTGAAAAGTAAGGCCCTTGGTCCAAGCCAAGGTTATACTCAATCTCATGTCAGTGGAGCAAATGTTCTCTGGATACTGGTGTTGGCTGAGGCTCTACTGGTAAGAAAGGCAAATTCAAATTTGGAAGATCAATGTGGAATATGTTGTTTTAAAATTAAACTTTTATTTTTGAGATAATTGTAAATGCACATGCAGTTGTAAGAAATACTACACGTACCCTTTATCCAGTTTCCCCCAAAGGTAACATCTTGCAAAACTGTAGTACAATATCACAACCAGGATATGGGCATTGATACAACTACCCAAACTTATTCAGATTGCTCCAGTTTTACTTGCACTCATGTGTGTGTGTGCATGTGTTTAGTTCTATCAAATTTTATCACATGGTAGGCTTGTATATCCACCACCGCCATCAAGGTACAGAACAGTTCCCTTCCCACAAGGATCCCTGTGTTTGCCTTTTATAACACACTCATCTCTCCCTCCCTTTCCCTGTCCCTAACCCTTGACAACCACTAATCTGTTCTCCATTTCTACAATTTTGTCATTTCAAAAATATTTTAGAAAAGACTTAAAAAATTTTATTTTAAGTTCAGGGGTACATGTGCAGGCTTGTTATATAGGTAAACTCATGTCACAGAGGTTTGTTGCACAGATTATTTTGTCACCAGATATTAAGCCTAGAACCTGTTAGTTATTTTTCCTGATCCTCTCCTTCCTCTCACCCTCCACCCTCAGGTAGGCCTCAGTGTCTTTTGTTCCCCTCTTTGCGTCCATGAGTTCTTATCATTTAGCTCTCACTTATCAGTGAGAACACGTGGTATTTGGTTTTCTGTTCCTGCATTCATTGCTAAGGATAACGGTTTCCAGCTTCATCCATGTTCCTGCAAATGAAATGATCTTGTTGTTTTTTATGGCTACATAGTATTCCATGGTGTATATGTACCACATTTTCTTTATCCAGTCTAGCAATGATGGACATTTGGGTTGATTCCATGTCTTTGCTATTGTGAACAGTGCTGCAATGAACATACGTGTGCATGTGAGAATGCTTTATGTTCCTTTGGGTATATACCAAGTAATGGGATTCCTGGGTTGGAGGGTAGTTCTGTTTCTAGCTCCTTGCGGAATCACCACATTGCTTTCCACAATGGTTGAACTAATTTACACTACCATGAACAGTGTATAAGCATTTGTTCCTTTTTCTCTGCTCTCTGCAATCTTGCCAGCATCTGTTACTTTTTTACTCTTTTTTTTCTTTTTTTTTTTTTTTTTGAGATGGAGTCTCACTCTGTTGCCCAGTCTAGAGTGCAATGGTGCAATCTTGGCTCACTGTAACGTCCATCTCCTGGGTTCAAGCAATTCTCCTGCCTCAGCCTCCCGAGTAGCTGGGATTACAGTCATGCACCACCATGCCTGGCTAATTTTGTATTTTTAGTAGAGATGGGGTTTCTCCATGTTGGTCAGGCTGGTCTCGAACTCCCGACCTCAGGTGATCTGCCCATCTCAGCCTCCCAAAGTGCTGGGATTACAGGCGTGAGCCACCGTGTGTGGCCTATTTTTCGACTTTTTAATAGCCATTCTGACTGGTGTGAGATGGTATTTCATTGTGGTTTTGATTTACATTTTTCTAATGATAAGTGATGTTGAACTTTTTTTTTTGAGATGAAGTCTTGCTCTGTCGCCCAGGCCTCAGCCTCCTGAGTAGCTGGGATTATAGGTGCGTGCCACCATGACTGGCTAATTTTTGTATTTGTAGTAGAGACAGGGTTTCATCATGTTGGTCAGGCCAGTCTCAAACTCCTGACCTTGTGATCCACTCACCTTGGCCTCCCAAAATGCTGGGATGGCAGGCATGAGCCACTGTGCCTGGCCCAATGTTAAGCTTTTTAAAAGCATTTTTATGAAATGTTGGAACCATACAGTACAGAATTGACTCTTTTTATTCAGCATAATTGCCTGAAGATTCATCCAAGATGTTGCATTCATCAATAGTTCATTCCTTTTTATTGCTGAGTATCCCATGGTATGAATGTACCAGTTTGTTTAACCAGTCGCCCACTGAAGGACATCTGGGCTGTCTCCAGTTTTTTGGCTGTTATGAATAAAGCTTCTATGAACATTTGTATACAGGTTTTTTTGTGAACATAAGTCTTCATGTCTCTGGGATAAATGCCCAGGAGTACACTTGCTGGGTCATATGGTAATTGCACATTTGGTTTTATTAAAAACTGCCAAACTGTTTTCCAGAGTTTCTGTACCATTTCACATTCGCACCAGCAATGTATGACTGATCCAGTTTCTCCAAATCCCTGCCAGCCTTTGATGTTGTCATTATTTTTTAATTTTGTGTGTAGTGATATGTCATTATTGCTTTAATTTGTATTTATTTAATGGCTAATGATACTGAATATCTCTCTTCATGTGCTTATTTACTGTCCACATATTCTCTTCAGTAAAATGTCTGTGGATATCTTTTGCCCATTTTCTAATTCAATTTTTTTTAACTGTTGCGTTTTAAGAGTTCTTTATGTATTTTAGATACCAGTCTTTTGTTAGATACGTGCTTTGCAAATATTTTCTTCCAGTTGTAGCTTGTCTTTTCATCCTTTCCACAGGGTCTTTCACAGAGCAAGTTTTTAATTTTGATCAGGAGAAATTATCAAATTTTCCTTTTATGGATTATGCTTTTAGTATCAAGTCTAAGAACTCTTTCACTAACTCTTGGCAGAGCCCAAAGATATTCTCCTCTGTTTTTTCTTTTCTTTTTTTTTTCAGATAGAGTCTTGCTCTGTTGCCCAGGGTGGAGTGCAGTGGCATGATCTTGGCTCACTACAATCTCCACCTCCCGGGTTCAGGTGATTCTCCTACCCCAGCCTCCTGAGTAGCTGGGATTACAGGCATGAACTACGACACTCAGCTAATTTTTGTATTTTTTTAAATGGAGACGGGGTTTCCCCATGTTGGTCAGGCTGGTCTTGAACTCCCAACCTCAGGTGATCCACCCACCTCGGACTCCCAAAGTGCTGGGATTATAGGCGTGAGCCACCGTGCCTGGCTGTCTCCTCTGTTTTTTCTAAAAGTTATATAACTTTACATTTTACATGTATATCTGTGATTCATTTGAGTTCATGGAATAGGTTTTAATCCCCAGTCAAGGTAAACTGTTATCTCTTCCAGACTGAAGAAGGCCCAATGTAATCAATTTGCCACCAAATGATTGGATTGTCTCCTCAAAGGATGGTGCTGTATTGAGACTGAGTAACAGTTTCTGTTTCTGGCAGGTTGGGCATTTGCAGCAGCAATAGCTAGACCAGTCTTCGAGAGTGGCACTAATGGGGCCCATGACAGAGGCTATCTGACATCAGCTGGCTGAGTCACTCTGCCTGCTTGGCTGATGCTTTCTTGTGGGAATTAACTTGTGGTACAAAGATCTTCACACTTTGTAACTGTGTCTTCACACACACACACACCTCTCAGACCTCCTTGTCCCTAATCCAATCTTTCACCTTCCAGGACCCTGACTAATACAATCAAGCCATTCACCACAACCTATGAATCTTTGTACTTTTTACCTCATGCAACTTCTCTTTCCTCATCAATGAATGACAGATGCATAGGAGCAATGTCTACAGGGAAGATTTCCCCTTACCACTGTCTTTCAGAGCTGCCCTGAAATGGGCTGAGAGGCAGCGCCATTTGTGGCTGGACCCATCTGTGAACCAAGGCTGGTGCTTTTTCCTCCTCTATCAGCTGATCCTAAGGGACCACCCAGGTGGTCACAAGTGCGAGCTGCGGGAGAGGTGGTAGATGACATTGGTGTCTGGAAGCTACACTTCCTTTCCAACCTAGGCTCAAAGTCAACACAGCTTCATTACCATATTCAATTGGTAGAAACAATCATAAATTTTCCCAGATTAAAGGAGGATGGAATTAGACTCCACCTCTTGATGTGGGACTAGCAAGGTTGCAAGATTGGAACTATTGGTCCATCTTTGGGAAATACAATCTGTCACAAGGTCTCTCTACTCTGACTGGTCAGAACTTGAATGATCCCAGCCCTACATGAGCTCTAAGGATGTTTGGCTTCCATCTCCTCAGTCATTGTTCTTTCCCCAGCAGTTGTTCTTTGGCCTGGCCTTGTGGAGTGTCACCCTATGCATGCATTACTGGTATTCAGCTAGAGACTCAATGTTTTATACGGAGCTCTTTCTCTGTGTAGCTCACTCCTCACTGGTATTTTATCTAGCAAATTCTAGCTGATTTGGCTTCCCCATACTCCAGTCTCTGACTCCTCAACTCAGGAAGACCATGAGGCTCTTTCTGAGTTCTCCTTTCCTGTATTGAAATCTGGAAATTGTTTTCACAACTGTGGGTTCACCTCATTTTTTCCCTTCCCTGAGTGGTCAGTCCTGTACTGCCTTTTGTCTATGTCTGGAAATAGCTGTTTTGTGTGTTTGATCCAGCTTCTCAGTTGTTTAGCAGGAGAAAGTAACTCCTGTTTCAGTTATTTCTCCATAAGTGGAAGCAGAGTCTGAATATATTGTGAAAATAAAGCCAGTAGGGCTGGGCGCAGTGGCTCATGCCTGTAATCCTAGCACTTTGGGAGGCCAAGGCCTGTGGATCACTTAGGGTCAGGAGTTTGAGACCAGCCTGGTCAACATGGTGAAACCTCGTCTCTACAAAAAATACAAAAATTAGCCAGGTGTGGTGGTGCACACCTGTAGTCCCAGCAACTTGGGAGTCTGAGGTGGGAGAATTGCTTGAACCCAGGAGGCGGAGGTTGCAGTGAGCCAAGATGGCATCACTGCACTCCAGCCTGGGTGACAGAGCGAGACTCTGTCTGAAAAAATAAATAAATAAATAAATAAATAAATAAAGCCAATAGGATTTGGTTATGAGTTGGATATTGGTTGTAAGAAGAAGAAAGACACTAAGGATGACTTCAAGCTTTTGGCCTGAAACTGGGAGAGAGGCATGGCTATTACCTGAGGTTAGATCACATTTGGGGTTGTAAGGGTGGGTAAAATTAGGAACTCAGTTTTAAACATGTTAAATTTGAGATGCGTGTTAAACATCCCAGTGGAGATGTCAGCTTTGCAGTTGGATATACAGGCCAGGCATTCAGGCTGAAGGCCAGGCTAGAAACATAAAATCGGGAATTGTCTGTGTACGGCTGGTATTTGAGGCTGAGTCTTGATGAGCTCAATAAGAAAGTGAGTGTAGAGAAAAAAGATAGAAAAGATAAAGCCAAGCACTGAGCCCTGGGCACTCTAATATTAAGTTATTTGGAGAGATGAAGAGGAACTCTTGAGCTGTTTGTGCCAACTCTCCCAACCCATTGTCTCTTACACCCATGACTCTACCCACCCTGTCTGCTCGGTCAGCCTTCTCTTGCCACCTTTCTGGCACTGACTTCTGCTGACCTGCTTTGTTCTGTGGCCATCCAGCTCCAGGCCTGACCGATCAGTTCCAGGGCTGGTTCCGGGCCTTGGAAATGGACTCCATCAGGACTGGTTTTCCGCCAAAGTATAGCCTGGGAATAAGGCAAAAGGCCTGTGACTTCCAGAGTGAGCAGAGCCTTGGCCGGAAGCCCTTGCCAGTCCGTGGTGATGCCTCTCACATTGAGAGCTCCAAAGAACAGGAAAAGGCAGATATATCACCCTAGACAGAGCAAGTAGTTTTCTTTTTTGCCTCAGATTCCGTCCTGGACAATGTTCTGGTGTGGTTGCTTAGTAGTTGCACTCCATGTTATTGACCTCAAAAGATTAAGTGTACATTCCAAACATCCCCAGTTTCCCTATAGTAATTTATTACTGACTGGATAGTAGTAATTAATGTTAGCATTATTCATCCTGTCAAATCATATGTAAAAAGAACCAAATGAGGACGTTTATTGCAGTGCTATTTATAAAGGTAAAAATATTAGAAACTACCTAAATAACCAACAATGGAGGACTAAGTAAATAAGTTATGACAAATCCATAGTATGCACTTAGTAAAATAATTTTGCAGATATGGGAGATGTTTGTAATATGTTGCAGATTTAAACTTTTTTTTTAACGAGATGAGGTCTTACTGTCACCCAGGCTAGAGTACAGTGGCACAATCATAGCTCACTGCAGCCTCAAACTGGGGCTCAAGTGATCCTACCACCTCAGCCTTCTGAGAAGCTGGGACTACAGGTGTGTGCCACCATGCCTGGCTAATTAAAAATATTTCTTTTTGTAGAGACAGGAGCGTCTCACTACATTGCCCAGTTTAGTCTCAAACATCCGGCCTCAAGCGATCCTCCCACCTAAGCCTCCCCAAGTGCTGGGGCTGGGATTACAGGCGTGAGCCACCACGCTTGGCAGATTTAAACATTTTAATGGAGCAGTACAGTGTGGTGTTCAAGAGCACTTTAGCATAAACAGACTTGAGAATGCCATGACTTGAACTCTAACAATTAATGACTAGGTAGAGAAAATGAACCTGCAAATGAGACTGAGCAAGAGTGGGCAAAGACATAGGAATTAAGCAGGAAGAGTGTTTCATCATAGAAGACAAGGAAAGTTTTTTTTTTCTTTAAATAAGAAAGACCAAATGGTCAATCATTCAACAGTGTCAAATGATGAAGAGCCAAGATGAGGCCTGAAAGGTGACCACTGTATGAAACAACACGAATGTCACTGATGACTGTTGCAAGAGCTGTTCCAGTAGAATAATGAGAGCAAAAGTCAGATTGGAGCGGGTTGAGGGGTGAACGGGAGGTGAGAAATGGAACTAGAGAGTGTAGAACTATTTTGAGGAATTAGAGTGTGTAGAGGCAGAGGATTTTTTTTTTTTTTTTACAGGGATATCAGCTCCTTTAAATAACCATGAGATGGATCCAACAGAGAGGGAATGATGAAATGCACAAGAGAGGAACTGGGTAATTTAGAGAGAAGGTTGATGAAAAGGTGGGAGAAAATGGGATGTAAAACACAAGTGGTGGAGCTGCTCTTGATTAGACAGTCAGAAGAGAAACTCTTCAATTGCAACAGGAGGCAAGAAGGAGGGGTGCAGGTGTGGGTGGGTTTAAGCATTTGGTAACACAAGGAAGAACTCAAAGATTATGACATCGGTGGAGAGTGGGGGGTGGGGGAGTGTCAGAGGTATCGGGAGAGTGCAGAAGGTTTGAAATAGTTGATTATAGTAGGAATAGTGAGCTATAGTACTAGATTTTCAGAGCACAGTAGTCATATTTTCGAGCATCCTTTGGTCCCATGTGGAATTGGAGATTCTGAATTATAGAGAAACCCATCTGCCTTATGGTGACTTTCTCTGGTAGTATTTCGTTGCCTTAGGCCAGGCATGGTGGCTCATGCCTGTAATCCCAGCACTTTGGGAGGCCGAGGCAGGTGGATCACTTGATGTCAGGAGTTCAAGACCAGCCTGGCCAACATGGTGAAACCTCCGTCTCTACTAAAAATACAAAAATCAGCCAGGTGTGGTGGTGCACGCCTGTAATCACAGCTACTTAGCAGGCTGAGTCAAGAGAATTGCTTGAACCTGGGAGGTGGAGGTTGCAGTGAGTTGAGGTCGCGCCACTGCACTCCAGCCTGGATGACAGAGCGAGACTATCTGAAAAAAAAAAAAAAAAAAAAAAAAAAAAGTATTTGGAAGCTGGGTGCGGTGACTCACGCCTGTAATCCCAGCACTTTGTGAGGCCGAGGCGGGTGGATCATCTGAGGTCGGGAGTTCGAGACCAAGCCTGACCAACACGGGGAAACCCTGTCCCTACTAAAAATACAAAAAATTAGCCAGGCATGATGGTGCATGCTTGTAATCCCAGCTACTCAGGTGGCTGAGGCAGGAGAATCGCTTGAACCGGGAGGCAGAGGTTGTGGTGAGCTGCTGAGATCGCGCCATTGCATTCCAGCCTGGGCAACAAGAGCAAAACTCCGTCTCAAAAAAAAAAAAAAAAAAGTATTTGGTTGCAGGAAAGAAGGAAGAAATTAGTTTCCTTCATCTGGGGGTGGGATTTAGCCAGAGAGGAGAGAGAATTTCCCTGCACTGCTTCAAGGCCTGGGTAGACAGATAGAGAGAGCCAGCCGCTCAGCTCTTCTGTGGAAGCACAGCCAGAGGGAAGTGGGAGAGAGCGGTTCTCCATCCCCATGAAAGGAGGTTCCCTGCAGTTCACCTTCTAACTTCCTGTCCCTGGGAGAGCCCGCCCTTTGTTAAGCCTGACAGATTCCCCATGCAGAGCTCAGTACCCCCATATGCTGTTTGCTGTTTTTGCAGGCCTGTCAGGAACAATCCTTTTCAGCCTTCAGAAAGGTCTTTTTTCTTGATCCATACTGTGCTTGGGAATGCACGGGAGGGCCAGGGGTGACCCCCTGAGGAAGGTCACTATTAATGTCTAGTGAGGACAAAACAGCCTTCTTTAATTCTCCCAGCTCACATGATACTCCAATACAGCCCATAAGAAGCAATGGGACTTCTCTTTCCTATGGCCCTTGGCTTCTGCGGGAAGCAAAATAGAATGGAGACACTTATTTTCCTCAGCTCTGTATTTTTTACCCAAAGAGACACAGGGCAGCCAAGTTTGAATTTGTGAATGTGTGGCCTGGCGCGGTGGCTCATGCCTGTAATCCCAGCACTTTGGGAGGCCGAGGTGGGCGGATCACGAGGTCAGGAGATTGAGACTATCCTGGCTAACACGGTGAAACCCCGTCTCTACGAAAAATACAAAAAAATTAGCCGGGCATGGTGGCGGGCGCCTGTAGACCCAGCTACTCAGGAGGCTGAGGCAGGAGAATGGCGTGAACCCAGGAGGTGGAGGGTGCAGTGAGCTGAGATCGTGCCACTGCACTCCAGCCTGGGCGACAGAGCAAGACTCCGTCTCAAAAAAAAAAAAAAAAAACAAACAAAGAATTTGTGAATATGCGACATTCCAAACCTGGTCTCTGGGCCAGAGCTGGTGCTTGGAAGGGAAAGGCTTGGGGAGAAGGATGGAAGGAGTGGTGGCATCAGGTTCCAGCTCAGCCACAGGTTCCAGCCATGCCTCTACTGCTTGGGAGACAGAGGAGTGAGGGCGAACATGGGAGGGTGGCTCTGCTGGAGGGTGGACACTGTTCTCCAAGCAGTCTGGCCTTGGGGAAGGAGCCAGTCACCCCCACTCCCACTTGGACATACACACCCCAACCAGGGAAAGGCTGCCCTATGCATCCTGCATGCCTCTGTTACCTCTGGCCAGGGGCAACCCCATTTAATAAGAAGTCACTGGCCAACTGACAAGGATGGGAAGGTGACTTGTCATCTCTGGGCCCGTTCCTCATTTACAACCTGAAAGTTGAATGGGGTAATTTCTTTCTTTTTTTTTTTTTTTGAGATGGAGTCTCGCTCTGTCACCCAGGCTGGAGTGCAGTGGCGCGATCTCGGCTCACTGCAAGCTCCACCTCCTGGGGTTCATGCCATTCTCCTGCCTCAGCCTCCCGAGTAGCTGGGACTACAGGCACCTGCCACCACACCTGGCTGATTTTTTGTATTTTTTTCAGTAGAGACGGGGTTTCACCGTGTTGGCCAGGATGGTCTCGATCTCCTGACCTCGTGATCTGCCCGCCTAGGCCTCCCAAAGTGCTGCGATTACAGGCGTGAGCCACCGCGCCCGGCCGAACAGGGTAATTTCTAAGGCTCCTTTACTTCTGGCTATTAGTCTCTGGTTGGTCTGAAATGACACTGGGTTTAAATTATTTTACAGTCTTTGGATATCAAGGTCTTCACATGATTCGGTTGATAAGTACAGAGTTCTGGCAATGGTCCCAGGGCTATGGGGAAGAGAATGATTTGGGAGGGCTCTGCCTTGAAGAAAGGCCCTGATTCTATTTTGCAGGCCTCAGTTTCCTCAACTGTAAAATGAGACTCTGAAGTCTAGAAGATCTTTGAGATCCAGTTGTGGTTCTCTATGCTGAATCTCTGTCTTCATGCAATTTGGATTCCCAATAAATACATATTTCCTGAGCTATTTGCTTGGCATGTGTGCAGTACTATAGTGGAACACGGTCCCTGTCCTTAAGGAGCTCACAATATATTTTTAAAAACAGTAAGCCACATACATAGGAAAAACTAGCGTAATCCACATCCAAACGAATAATAGAGACACCAGAGGATGGCTGTCTCTGGGCATATTGCAGGCTGGAGGAAAGCAGGCAGAGGCTGTGACTAGAGCTTGCTCACCCCATGACTTCCTGCTAACTCGGCTCTCAGAGGGGTGTGGTGGAACCAGACTGCCTAGGTTCAGTCCTGTCTTCACCGCTTGCAAGCTTTAGGGAAGTTACTCAACCTCTCTAAGCCTCAGTTTCCTGATCTTTAGGATGGGGATAATAAAAGTATTGCCTTGCATCTTTGTTGTAAAGATAAAGTGAAATTATCCATGTAAAGTATTTAGCATAGTGCCTAAGACATAGGTGGTGCTCTATAATGATCCCTTCCCACCCTGACCCGCCAGGAAGCCCAGCTGTGGGAATGACTCCAGATTAGGGAGGGTTCAGTACAGCTGGCCAAGTCCAGTATGACCCTGGCTTAGTGCCAGATCACTCAATTCAAAGTCTAAGTCCATGTCTAGGTAGGACTGGGCATCCTACCTAGAGCATACCATTGTCGTCCTGGTCTACAGGTAATCCCTGCTTTTCCAGGAGAAAAATCTAGATGCAGATGGAGTCAGGGCAGGATGAGGACTACGTGCAAATCAAGGAGTGTCAGGGGCTGGGCGCGGTGGCTCAGGCCTGTAATTGAAGCATTTTGGGAGGTGGATGTATTAGTCAGGGTTCTCTAAAGGGACAGAACTAATGGGATACAGAGATATATAAAGGGGAGTTTATTAAGTATTAACTCACACGATCACAAGGTCCCACAATAGGCTGTCTACAAGCTAACGAGCAAGGAGAGCTAGTCTGAGTCCGAAAGCTGAAGAACTTTGAGACCAATGTTCGAGGGCAGGAAGCATGCAGCATGGGAGAAAGATGCACGCTGGGAGGCTAGGCCAAGTCTAGTCTTCTCATGCTTTTCTTCCTGCTTTATATTCCAGCCATGCTGGCAGCTGATTAGATGGTTCCCACCCAAATTAAGGGTGGATCTGCTTTTCCCAGCCCACTGACCCAAATGCTTTTTTTTTTTTTTTTTTTGAGATGGAGTCTCGCTCTGTTGCCCAGGCTGGAGTGCAGTGGTGAGATCTCAGCTCACTGCAAGCTCCGCCTCCCGGGTTCACGCCATTCTCCTGCCTCAGCCTCCCGAGTAGCTGGGACTACAGGCGCCTGCCACTATGCCTGGCTAATTTTTTGTATTTTTAGTAGAGACGGGGTTTCACCGCTTGAGCCAGGATGGCCTCAATCTCCTGACCTTGTGATCTGCCTGCCTCGGCCTCCCAAAGTGCTGGGATTACAGGTGTGAGCCAACTCGCCCAGCCCTGACCCAAATGTTAATCTCCTTTGGCAACACCCTCACAGACACACCCAGGATCAATACTTTGCATCCTTCAATCCAATCAAGTTGACACTCAGTATTAACCATCACAGCGGAAGCAAGAGGATCACTTGAGGCCAGGAGTTTGAGACTAACTTGGGCAACAAAGAGAGCCCCCGAGACCTTGTCTCTGCAAAAAATAAAAAAAA